>NC_000013.11:80242193-80395034 GCF_000001405.40 Homo sapiens | reverse complement strand
TACACAACAGTATATTGTATATTTCAAAATAGCTAGAAAAGATTTGAAATATTCCCAACACAAACAAAATGATACATATTCAAAGTAATAGATACCCTAAATACCATGATTTGATGATTGCACATTCCATGCATGCATCAAAATATCACATGTATTGCTTACATATGTACAAACACTATGTATCAATAAAAAACAATAAGTAAATAATATCATCAGCTCAGATATCCCAAATCTCATCATCTAAGTCATATAAATTAGGTATAAATCACGCTTTAGGTATGTTCCATCCTAAAGCATAATTCTCCTCCATCTGTGTACCCATAACACTGAAAAACAAAGTGTAGGATTGAATACAACAATATTTGTATAAACTTTCTATTGCTTTTGCAACAAATTACCAAAAATTTATAGACTTAAAAAAACACAAATTTATCTTATATTCCTGGAGATCAGAATTCTGAGATCTGTTTCACTGTGCTAAAGTCAAAATACTTGAAACAGGCATGGGATAATAGTTATGGGCATTTCTATTCCAATTGGAGAAAAAAAAAAAAAAAGCAGAAGAAATAAAGGGGTCAGCAACCCCAAGCAAATTTGAAATCCAACTGAGCAAACTCTATTAGACTTCAAGGTTATCTTTTTGGGTCTCAAGCCTCCATCCTCTGAACGCTTCTTTTTTTTCATAAATGGTAGTATGTGCTTGCAGCTGAATAACTTTATCAGCCTGTTTCCTACCTGTAAAATTTTGGAATTACAACAGCATTCTTTTATTTCCTCTTCCCTCTGTCCCTTTCAGTAAAAGCTTACAGAGTTTCTGCTGATATATCATTCTTAAAAACTTTGTGGTTCTCCTATGTATGTATTAGAATCCATATGTCACTTGACTAATCTTTTCAAAGAGACTTCTGTGTGACTGAATACTTTAATCTTGCAATACTTCTGAGGCACTTGCAAAAAGTTGTCCACTCACTCTCTTGGATTGCTCTCAAGAGCACTCTTTTCTGACAGTGAATCTTTTCATTTTGGCATCTTTTGCAATCTGGATAGACTGAAAATTTTCCAAATTATCAAGTCTTAGTTGCTTTTTGCCTTAATAATTCTTTCCTCAATTTATCTCTTTCCCCTCCCATTTGACTATAAGCAGCAAAAAGAAAAGAAAACACATCATATCTTAACCCTTTGCTTTGAAATTTCCTCAGCTAAATATCCAAGTTAATCATTTACAAGATTTTTACACATAACCTCAAGACATAATTTAGCTAAGCTTTCTATCACTATATAACAAAGATATTTATCCAGTTTCCAAAACATGTTCCTTATTTCCTTATGAGCTTCACCAAGAATCTTTAACATTTATATTTCCACTTACAGTCTGTTCAAAGCAATGCAGGCTTTTTCTATTATGTACCTTAAAATTCTTCCAGACTGTACCCATTATCCAATTCAAATGCCACATCTACATTTTTGGTGATCTGTTACAGTCGCATCTCACTTCTAGACGCCCAAAATATGTATGAGTTTCCTATTGCTGTTAAAATAAATCACCACAAACTTAGTGACTTAAAACAATACAAATCTATTCCCTTACACTTTTGGAGGTCAGAAGTCTGAAATCGGTTTAACTGAATTAAAGTCAAAGTGTCAGCAGTGCTAATTCCTTCTGGAGGCTCAAGGGAAAAATCCATTTTTATATTTATTTATTTATTTATTTTTGCTTTTTTCAGTTTCTAGAGGCTACCTATATTCCTTGACTTGTGGTCCCTTCCTCCATCTTCAAAACATAACCCTCTTATCTCTGTTTCCAGTATCACATCACCTTTTCTCTGTAGTATATCTTCTCTCTGCCTTCCTTTTATGAAAACACTGATGAGTACCTGTATGGCCCACACAGATAATCCAGAATAATCTCCCCATCCCAGTATCCTTAATTTGTGCACATCTACGAAGTCCCTTTTGACATGTAAGTAACATTGACAGGTTCTGGGATTTCGGACTTTGTTATTTTGGAGTTCTACTATTCAGCCTACCACAGTATATTAAGAGAATAATACATCATGCCTAAGTAATGTTTATCCTAGACATGCAAATTTGTTTTAATATTCAAATACAAACCAACAGAATTCACTACATTAACAACAATAACAAAAAAAACCATGATTGCCTCAATAGATGCACAAAAAAGTGACAATATCAATATCCATTTGATTTTTAAGAAAATCTCAGCAAACTAGGAATAGAAGATTACTTCCTCAGCATGATAAAAACCATCTACCAAAAATATAGACAACATTATAATTGAGTTAAAAAATGCATATTTTCAACCTAAGATGAGAAACAAAGCAAGGATTTTTATTCTCATCATTTTTATTCAACATTTTCTGAGGGCTCTGGCCAGTGCCAAAAGGAAGGAAGGAAGGAAGGAAGGAAGGAGAAGGGGAAGGGGAAGGAAAGAAAGAGAGAAAGAAGGAAAGAGGGAGAGGAAGGGAAGGGAGTGAGGGAAGAAGGAAGGAAGGAAGGAAGGAAGGAGCTGGGTAAAAAGAAGGGGAAGTATCTTTATTCACAAGTGACTTGATTATCCATGATAAAAATAAGATGAAATATACAAAAAGGTATTCAAACTAATAAATTTCTTTAGCACAGTTGCATGATACAAGATCAATAAATAAAGATCAACTATATGTTTATATCATTGCTTAAACAATTAGAAATTTAAATTTTTTTATTTTTTAATTAATTTTTTTTTTGAGATGGAATATCGCTCTGTCTCCCACGCTAGAGTGCAATGGTGCAATCTCGGCTCACTGCAACCTCTGCCTTTCGAGTTCAAGCGATTCTCCTGCTTCAACCTCCAGAGTAGCTAGGAATACAAGTATGTGCCACCACACCCAGCTAATTTTTGTATTTTTAGTAGAGATGGGGTTTCACCATGTTGGCCAGGCTGGTCTTGAACTCCTGACCTCAAGAGATCTGCCTGCCTCAGCCTCCCAAAGTGCTGGGATTACAAGCATGAGCCATCGCACCCAGCCATAAATTTAAACTTTAAACAGTATCATTTGAAATAGCATAAAAAATACAAAGTACTTAAGCATAAATCTGATCCAACAATTTGTAAGACCCATACGCTGAAAATTCTAAAAGACTGATGAAAGAAAGTAATGACCTAAAGAAATGAAGAGATATATCTCTTCATTATTGAACTTCTCTTCAAAAATGAACATCTTAATACTGAGTCTCTGACTAATGAAGAGATATATCTCTTCATTAGTCAGAGACTCAGTATTAAGATGTTCATTTTTTCCAAATTGATCAATAGGTTATACATAAATCTTCTCAAGATTTCAGAAGGCTTTTTTTTGAAGAAATTGACACATTGATTATAAAATTTATATGAAAATTAAAAGGACATTTTATAGCCAAAACAAATTTGTAAAAGAAAAATAGAGTTCGATGGCTAATACTATCAGATTTCAAGATTTATTAAAAAGCTATAATATGGTCTGGGCACGGTGGCTCAGGCCTGTAATCCCAGCACTTTGGGAGGCCGAGGCGGGCAGATCATGAGGTCAAGAGATTGAGACCATCCTGGCCAACGTGGTGAAATCCCGGCTCTACTAAAAATACAAAAATTAGCTGGGTCTGGTGGCACATGCCTGTAGTCCTAGCTACTCAGGAGGCTGAGGAAGGAGAATCGCTTGAACCTGGTAGGCGGAGGTTGCAGTGAGTCGAGATCGCGCTACTGCACTCCAGCCTGGAGACAGAGCAAGACTCCATCTCAAAGAAAAAAAAAACCTACAATATGAAGCTGCTAATGTGTTAGTGTAAAGATAAACAAGTATATTAAAAGAACAGAATAGGAAATTCAGAAATAGATCCACCCTTATATTGACAACTGATTTTTGACAATCAGAAGTGCAAAGACAATTTAATGTAAAAAGGATAGTCTTTATAATAAATAATGCTAGAATTGGATATTCATATGCAAAAATATGAATTTCACTTGCAATATGAAATTAACTCAAAGTGGATAATTTACCTAAATATGAAATCTACAACTATGAAACTTCTATAAAAATATATAATAAAAATCTTTGTGACCCTGGATTAGGCAAAGGTTTAGCTATGACACCAAAAGCATAATTTATTAAGGAAAAAATTGATGAACTTCATCAAAATCAAAATCTACTTTTTAAAAGATGCTGTTAAAAGAATAAATAATTCACAGGCTACAGGAAAATATTGGCAAGGTATATTTCTATTAAAGAACTTGTATCTAGAATACAAAAAAAAACTCTTAAAACTCAATAATAAGAAAGCAATCCGATAAAGAAATGAACAAAAGATTTGAACACACTCCTCACCCACAAAGATATACACATGACCAATAAGCACATGAAAAGACATCCAATAGTCATTAGAGAAATGAAAATTCAAACCACAAAGAGACACCACCATACACCTATTCAATTGACTAAAATTAAGTAGGCAGACAATACTAAGTGTTGACAAGGATGTGGAACAATTGAAACTCTCATACAAGGCTAGTGGGAATATAAAATTATACATCACTTTGAAAATCAGTTGGACTGTTTCTTAAATGTAAATCATACACTAAAGCTGTCTGAAAAACTGACAAGCAAAAAATGGAAGAGAATTTATTCTCTCACATAATTGCAAAATCTAGATCAATTACACTTCAGGCACTTCTGAATCCAGGTGCTCAGGATTCAAGTTACTGTTTCTATCTCTTGCTTTGTTTTCCTCTGAGATAACTTCAGTCTTATACAGTTTCTCTCTATATGATGAATTCCAGCAGTGCTTGGTTTACATTCTACCAGCTTAGCAACTCCAGCAAAAAGAGCTTCTCTTTTCCAATGGTTCTAGAGAATATCCTGGAATTGGTCTCATTAGTCTGGCTTACTTTGTATGCATATTTCTTAGCCAGGGGAATACAAATTCCTTAGCCAAGGGAATACAAATTCCTTAGCCAGGGGAATAAAAAGCCCTGGTTTGCTAGGATTCAGTTAAATATACCCCCACATTCCAAAGAAGCATCAACCCACTCAATCCATATGAACTGACTCAGGTGATAGAAAAAAGTTCCCTCAAAGTTAAAGTGCTATTATCATAAGATGGGGCAATGGTTGTTGTGCAACATTAATTACTGAACAAAATTTTCTCAACCAGTGACTGATTGGGAAATATCTTTTCTGGTCAGAAGTATCAATGCTATGTGGCACTGGCATTGATTGTTTGTTCTACCCTCTCTTCTTGGGAGGGCTCAATACACTCAAAAATGAAAAGTATTTGTTATTCTCTGGCCACTACAACTGTTGATCTGTGATCATGTTACCTTTTTTTTTTAATCTGTCAGAACAAGTTATTCAGAGCCTCCGATGGATGCTCCTTCCATGGACACCTTGCAAGTGTACCAAGCACACTGCATTGACTTAATTATGAAAAGCAAGTAGAGAAGTTTTCTATGACTACCAACCCAGACATCTCTCCTTCTCTGTTGCACTGACCTTCAGGGACAGGGCTTCTTTTGAATCTTTTGGGTCCTTTGCAATTCTTCCCTCACTTTAGTAATTTTTATCAGAAATAGAACAGAGAGAGAAAATAGGCAAGAGTGTGGAAAGCTGTAGTATTTTCATAACCATAAAAGGCTATCTGGTGGAAGGTCTTCTGACTCTTTGCCTGCTTTCTATTGCTAAACTGCACAACATTTATTAAAACATCCCAAAAGCCAAATAGACTGGTTGCTGGCACAAAGTTAATTTAAAGAGCTGAGGTAGAAAGATTACAGAACTGGAGAGCAATGAGAGCCACTTTCTGAGGAAAATTGAACAACCAGGAAAATAGTGGAGGTTTCATAACTCTGCTTAAAGCCATGCAAATGAATGGGGCTTATTAAATATTTCTGGCACACAGTCCTTTTGAATTGTGCCATATAAAAAGCAGCATTAGCAATGACTTACTAATATAAAAATCTATATGAGAGATATTAGCAAGAACTTACTAATCATTAGAGTTAGAAGCTGCTATGTTGAGGCTGCTATATGGTTATATTAACAACTGCCTATTCTATTTCACAGAAGTCATTTCTATTTGATTTCTTAAAGTCTGCTTTAGGTAAAAAAAAAGTTCAAGATTTTCACGTACATGTTCATTGTTTTCTAAGTCATCTCTTAATGGGCTAGATTTGATTATTTCATTCAAAGAAATCCTAGACCGCTCTGCCTGACTTTCAACAAAGGGTTCAAGTAGCAACACGCGGGAGTTAGTTGGTGACCTTCCAGTTAACCTCTACTGGGCTCTCTCTGTGGCACTGCTTGATGAGGACCATGGATATTTGCTGACTCTCAGGTAACAGGTTATCCAGCTGCTGTTTTAAGCCTGATCGTTCCACTAGTTCATCCTATAAAAAAATTCAGGGGCCGTCAGCAGGTGGATTTAAGTATTGCAATGAGTTTAACAGGTTTGAAAACACATTCTTTAGCTTGTGCATTATTACCTCTTACTCGAATTCTTTTTTTGCTTTATAGAAAAACCTCATTTCAATAAAATTATGACAGACAATTTTGCCTCTATCCAGGAAGAAAACTGGACTACCTTGAATTTCATAAAGATTTTATATATTCTATATGTGCAGTTGGCATTTTTATGTCCTTTTTAGCAGTTTAGAAAAAGCTCCACCAATATTCTCAAGTCCACCTAGCTAGTAAGTGAAAGAACAGAAACTTGGACTCAGGTATTCTGAGCAAGTCCATCCACCAAGCTTTCCTCCTTTACTCAAAAAATAATAACGACCACTACATTTGCATAACACTTGGAAATACCGACAGCATTTCACTTGCATGATCTCATTTGATCTTAAAAGTGTAGTAAGTGTGCAGTAAGCAGGATAAGGTATTGAGGCTCCATTTTACAGATGTGGAAACCAAGACCCTAGGCAATGATAGTGGGAGGGTTAAATGATTTACCTAAGATCAAACAACTTTCAAGTGGCAAAGTCAAATCTAGAAGCCAGGAACTAGAACTCTGCATTCACATCATAGTCTAGCTCTACAACAATAGCTTATTCATTGTTTTTCATTCAAATTCTTCCTCAGTTTATCTAATTAAATTTTTGATAAACAGATTTTCCTCCATGAGGAAAAAAACTGAACTACTTTGGATTTTATGAGGATTTCAGAATACTTTTATAGGGAAAAAGCTTCTGTTGTACAGCTGCTTTTGACAAAATCCAGAATAATAAATTCTGCAGTGATTGTGGCTGTGGTGATGATGATAATGATGATGATAAAAAATAAATGTCAATTATTTCCAATGTGTTGTTAATTCAGCTTTAGCTTTTCAATGACGAAAATTCATATCCACCTTGTTTATAATGTTAGCGTATTTTTTTTATTTTTAAGAGAATTAATGATTTTATTGTGAGCATTATGGATTAACATTTGAGAGGTTTCTTTTAACCATCTATTAAGTTTTTACTTTAAAAATTATTCAGAAAAAAATTATAATAAAATACTTTGTAAGCATAGAAAGGGTCATTCAACATGTATACACTCATTTCATTTTTGACATGGAGAGTAAATAAAAGTTATTTTTAAATGGATTGTTAAATATTGTGTCAGAACAGTTGCTACTTAATTTCTCACTATAATGAAAAAAATATTGTGTACTTTGGTTCTAAGCAGTATAACATAGAAATCTAAACATTCTTGAAAGATGCCTGATTCAGTAGGAAGAGAGCAGATAGATTGTCTGCATTGAACAATAATACAACTGTGATTTAGAGATTTAAAAAATTCTCTGCAAATGTTAACATTAGTCAATATGAAGGCATTCACAGAAAGATAATGAGGAGATTACATTCCTTCTTTTTTAGAAAGTAAGCTTCTTGTAAAAATGAATTTTATTTCTACTGAAAAGGGTTGTGTGTGTGTGTGTGTGTAAATGGTAACACTTTGCCAACTACTGGGTGCAATTCATGTGTATAGCATCTTTAAAATTATTACCCCATTAGAGAGTTAAAATTATATCAATTATTTGGTTTCATTTAGCCTTTAGTGTTTGATTACTAGACAATAGAGCTTCATGGATAATAAAAATGAAATTTCCAATAAAAAATTAAAAAAACCTCTAGCTGTGCCAAAGTTCTGAGGGTTTCAAGTTATACAACAAAGCCACTGGCTTTCAAACAGTGCCACAACTCCAGCACCTTGTGCCAGATATTACATTTACTCAGGGTCATTTGGACAAAAGTAATGAAAAATATTAAAGCAATGTTTACATAGCAGATATGCAATAGCAATCATGTTATGTACATTGGTGATAAGAGTAAGAATTGGATTGTTTGGGAGAAAAGTGACATTTTCTCTTAAGTAGTGGAAAATTACCAGTATGCAGTATGTTGGCATTTTCTACTTAACTTTATTCCTTTATTTTTTTTTCATGCAGCTCCACTGTAAACCATTATGATAGTTATCATAATACATATGCACACATACAAATACATATAATCAGAAATGTTTTCTAGAAGTGATCTGAAAGCCAAAGAAATATGGTGATAAACTATAAATTATACCTTATTCAGTCTATTTCTATGATGAGATAAAAGGGCAAAGTGTGTGAGCAGTAATTATGCACAGAAAATGCTTATTAGGTGCCCTCAAATGGCAGACCACTATCCAGTCTTACTCTTCCTGGTCTTACTCTAACAAATTGTATAGGATTCTAATTGCAAGTGAGTATTGCTCAGTTCATCTTAACAATATATCATAAGCCTGAGCTCCACCAATAGGTTCAAGCTGAGAGATGTCTTGTGGCCCCACATGTGGTTTCCTTTGAAAACCACTGAGCTATAGCTGCCCCTGAAACACCTCTATGTTTGCTTCATCTTAGTGATAGCTTTTCTTTATTAGTTTATTCAGCAACCATGTAGTTGGGTCCTTGATTTCCCATCCAACACATCTTTTTGTCCCCTTCTTTAGCTCCTGACACCTTATTTCTTATTCCCAAACTGAGTATCATTTCCCCATATAAAGGGCTCTACGTAATTATTAGTCCCCAGTCCAACCCACAAAAGCCTAAGTAATCCATGGTATACCTAAAAGTTGTATTTCAACTACTCTCAAGTATACTCGGAGTTTTCTTTCCCTTGGGAAAATACTGAATTCTCACTAGAGGAGCAAGCAAAGGACGTCTTCCCAAGATTCTAACAGAAACCTTTACCTACTCCTTGAACAGAGAGAAATGGAACTAACCTTACTGCCTTCATTGTTGCCACAGTCATTTTACACAGATTATGTCACCAAATTTTACACAGATTATCTCATTTTCTCGAAGATATTACACAGATTTTACAAATGGGGAAACTGAGTGCCAGAGAGCACAAAGCAAAAAATGGAGTAAGTGATCAAGTCGGGATTTACACCGGTAGCAGTCTAACTTCAGAGTTTGTGCTCCATCCTGCCTTTCAAAAGAAAATCCCGCGGTCCAAGTCTATTACTGCTTGGGTGTTCTAAGTGAGGAACAAAGAAAAATTAGTCCCTTAGAGAAAGAATCCTATTCCCCAAAATCCACATGTTGAAGCCCTAACCTCTTGTACGTCAGTACACAGTATGTTGGAGTTTTATACTTTATGTTACATAAAAAAGACTTCAGAATATGACTGCATTTGGTGATATGGTCTTCAAAGGGGTAATTAAGTTAAAATGAGGCCATCAGGAGAGGGACCTTAGAAAAAAAACCACCTTGATCTTGGACTTCCAGGCTCCACAATTGTAAGAAATAAATTTCTGTTATTTAAGTCACCCAATCTGTGGTATTTTGCCATGACAGCCCTAGCAAACTAACCACAGTTCTCATGGTAAACACCACTGGATCTCCTACCCATTCACGTGGGATGAGTTATCTTGAGGCCATTGTTGGGCTCAAGGCTCATTAATGCAATTCCTTTTCTCCCCTAGGCTTGAGGTATGATTTCTATAGAGCTTTTTATATTAACCAAATCAGGATAACTTATATTAAATCTTCAAGTATTTTCTTTAGGCACAGGAGACCATATCAATGCGCAGGACTAGAAATAGGGATACAAAATAAACAGGAGAGAGATGTCTACAGCATGCCTGATGTCTTTGGCACACTCTTGGTCTGTGAGCCAAGCATCACAGGGCTTAGCTTAGCACACCCCAAGGCTTAGTGCTAAGCTAAGACTTCGGGTGCTACAATAAGGACAGGCATTGGAGCTGAGTTCCTAAGCATGTGAAAAAATTGAACATACTTTATTAGTCTAATACTTTATAGTACAGCATAGTAGTTAAGAATGCAAACAGGAGATACACTGCCTGGCCTTAAATCTGGGATCCTTCACTTAGTAAGTGGGACATTCAGCAAGTTATTTAAACTTTCTGCACCTCAATTTTTTACGTCTTAAATAGAAGGGTTGTTATGAGGATTAACTCAGTTAATGCATTTAAAGAGTTCCAATACCTCTAGCACATAGTAAAGGCTCAATATATTTTAATATTATTGCTTTTGGTACAGAGGCACAACATTTTCAGGTTTGTTTCCTTTTTTTTAATTACGTATCCACCTATATGAACAGAGCAGAATTCGTATTTTTGTGACATCTGATTCCATTAAATGAATATAGATATAGAGCTATTTCTGCTATCAAAAGATTTGGTGTATTCAAAAAGTTTCTATAAATGGTGATTGTTTTATTCAGAAACTAGGTGTTTAGCTTTCCAATATATTGTCAATCTGTCATTCATTTAACAGTCATTCATTATGCATTTACTACATGCTAGGCAATGCTATAGGCAATGTAAACGCAAGAGAGGATAGCACAAGTCCTGTTCTTGGAGTTTGAATTGCGTAGTCTAATGGAAGAAATAGATATGAAAACAAATAATTATAAATATGCATCTAATACATTTAACCAACACTTAGCAGATTTTCAGTATTTACTAAATGAATGAATGAGTGCTTGAATAAAGTCATATAATGGGAGAAAAAAAAATCAGCAGAAGAAAAGAAACATTTAGAGGGAGCAAATAACTCAGCCTAAAGAATTAAGCAACACTTCACAGAGAATGTAATATTTGAATTAATTTTTTTTTTTTTTGAGACGGAGTCTCGCTCTGTTGCCCAGGCTGGAGTGCAGTGACATGATCTCAGCTCACTGCAAGCTCCGCCTCCTGGGTTCACGCCATTCTCCTGCCTCAACCTCCCGAGCAGCTGGGACTACAGGCGCCCGCCACCATGCCCGGCTAATTTTTTTTTATTTTTATTTTTTAGTAGAGACAGGGTTTCACCGTGTTAGCCAGGATGGTCTTGATCTCCTGACCTTGTGATCCACCCACCTCAGCCTCCCAAAGTGCTGGGATTACAGGTGTGAGCCACCGCGCCCAGCCTTGAATTAATCTTAAAGTGTATCCATTAAAAAGTATTATTAAATAAGAAATTTCTTTTTCCTTTTTTGAGACAAGGTCTTGCTCTGTCACCTAGGCTAGAGTTCAGTGGCATGATCACAGATCACTCCATCCTTGACTTCCTGGGCTCAAGTGATCCTCCCACCTCAGCCTATCAGGTAGCTGGAACTGCAGGCATTGTACCAACATTCCTGGCTAATTTTTTATTTTTAGTTTTTGTGGAGATGGAGTCTCACTACGTTGCTCAGGTTGGTTTCCAACTCCTGAGCTCAAGTGATCCTCCCACCTAGTCCTCCCAGAGTACTGGGATTACAGGCATGAGCCACTGTACCCAGCCTAAATTAGCAATTTCAACATGCAGAAAGAGGAAATCTTTACAAAAGCATTAATTCCTCATTGGAAACCCTCTGAACAAATGAAAAAATTTCAATTCTTTTATATATATATATATATTTAAAATCAGTGATGTAGTAGAATCTGCTTGTCTCTGCCCTCAGCATATATTTGATGGATATGTCAACATTTTAGAAAAACTCTTTGTTTTAGCTCTGCATCATCTTTATCACCAGACTTGCTGCCCTTTGTCAGAATGAGGTGGGTCTGAGGCTCAGCGATGCACAACGTGACCAACACCACAACCAGGATAGGAACCACCATGCCCAGGTCTCCCCTTTACCCACAGTGTCCTATGGTGGCTGGTGTGCTGCTGGATTCAGCTCAGGACTGACTTTGGAACCACCTGAGAAGCGGCCAGAATCTATTGCCACATAGACAGTGCCCTATGCACAGCTGTCAATTCAACAAAGAGCCACTTAGTTTAAGTATGGCAGATCCAAGATGAATGGATGGCATCCTGTTTGGACAGCTGCTGCATTAAGGCCTGTGGATGAAAGAAAATATGACATCTACTACAAAAGATATCATTTGGGAAGAAATTTCTGAGAACTGCTTTCTGCTAGGACTTCAAACCATGTAATATGCAGCTCCAAACACAGTAATCACTGTGTAACTATAAACCTTGATGATCCAATGCTTAGAAATGCCCTGGTTATTATAATGGGCTTTGAAATATAATGCAGCATGGCCAATATCCCACAATGTTCCATGCACAATTATGTATCAACCTTGTTTTTATGGATGGAAACCTATTAGAGAAAATAAGGGGGGGCCGGGTATGGTGGCTCACGCCTGTAATCCCAGCACTTTGGGAGGCTGAGGTGGGCAGATCATCTGAGGTCGGGAGTTTGAGACCAGCCTGGCCAACATGGTGAAACTAAATACACAATTAAATTGTCCCATAAGGCTATTTCATATTCTTTTTTTTCTCCACTCTACTAAAAATACAAAAATTAGCTAGGCATGGTGGTGGGCGCCTGTAATCCCAGCTACTCAGGAGGCTGAGGCAGGAGAATTGCTTGAACCCAGGAGGCGGAGGTTGCAGTGAGCTGAGATGGTGCCACTGTACTCCAGCCCGGGTGACAGAGCTAGACTCTGTCTCAAAAAAAAAAAAAAAAGAAAAGAAAGAAAAGAAAAGAAGGGAAAAAACAATGTGTTTTTCTGATGGAATTAAAGTAGGGGGCATCACTTGGTAGATCCAAATTACCCCTAAAGAATGGCCCCAAACTGAGACAAGGAAATCCTGGGAGGCCTCATAGTACACTCAAACTAAATTACATCTGCGTGTGATTGCTCATCTAAGCCTAGTATGAGGGATCCAACATTTCTGGATGCAAAACGTATTCTAAGTGCACTGGTGTTATTAGTGCACGATAGTAACTAATAGTTTAATGGTGGCTTAAACAACACTGGCCCACAAGACAGAAACGGGCTACAGGGTAGATAGATGCCAAGCTAGGTATACTAAGATGAGTTGTGTTTGCTCTTTAATGAGGAGTAGCATTCAAAGGAAAAAGATGTATTAACTAGAAGAGAAGGAATGCTCTTTTGGGAAGAAGGCAAAGGGGATCAGCCTGGGAAGATAATGAGGCATTAGCAAAGTGGGTTAGGCAGACTCAATAAATAACACTGGACACTGCTAAAATCCAATGTTGGAAATGGGTCTGTGCTGGAACCCAACGTAGCCTCATGACTAATTCAAATGAAAACTGAAGTGGGCATGAGGCGATGGCCTTCTATTCTAGCTGCTGAGGTTCCAGGGGCACACCTGTGTGAGTCCTATGGCTCCCCAAACATGTGGAAGTTCTCTGGGGACACTTGTAATTTACACAAATAGGACTGTTCTCACATCTGTAACTGGTTGATATTAAAATATATCCCACGAGACAGTTAATAAGGATAGGAGGTCTTGTAAATATTACTGTGTCCTCCCCATAGGTGTGAGGTGGGCCCTGCTGTGTAATAACACACAATGGAACTCAGCCTCAGTACAAACCTGAGAGATAAGATGGGCTGACTGGCTTTGTTCCCAATTAATTTACAGAAATAACTGTCCTGTCTAATTGTACTGACATTTGCCCTTGTGTGAGCAAGAGTAGATTCTGTGGGAAAGGAAGAGCAAATACCTTTGAAATTCTTGCTTTTTTATGAAATTGAATTATACCATGGTCACAACACAAAAAGATGTAATACTGGCATTGTTGGTAAGACTAAACTACCTCATGTAAATAAGTTTCATGATCTGATATTGACGATCAAGTGTATTGGAAGATGGAGTTAAAGCATATTGGAAGATGGAGTTAAAGCGTACTGGAAGATGGAGTTAAAGCCTCCTCAGGATGAAATACCTAGGGAAAATGGTTTGTTGAATAACTTTATCTAGTTAACCATCAGCTCATTCTTGTGCTAAATAAATCTATAAAACCTTATTATAAGGCAAAAATAGGTGTAGATGAAGGAGGGGGTAAGAATAATCATATTAGTATAAGAATATCCAAATGCACTTTGAGAGGCTGAGGCAGGAGGATCACTTGAGGCCAGGAATTTCAGACCCCAGCCTGGGCAACATAGTGAGACCCTGTCTCTACAAAAAAATTTTTTTAAATTAGCCAGGCATGGTGGTGCACATCTGCAGTCCCAGAAACTCTAGAGGCTGAGGTCGGAGGATTGCTTGAGCTCAGGTGTTTGAGGTTGCAGTGAGCCAGGATTGTACTACTGTACTAAAGCCTGGGCAACACAGCAAACCCCTGTCTCTTAAAAAAAAAAAAAAAAAAAAAAAAAAAGAATATGAAACAGCCTTATGGGACAATTTAATTTTTTTTTTTTTGAGATGGAGTTTCACTCTTTTTGCCAAGGCTGGAGTACAATGGCACAATCTCAGCTCACCGCAACCTCCGCCTCCCGGGTTCAAGTGATTCTCCTGCCTCAGCCTCCCAAATAGCTGTGATTACAGGTTCCTGCCACCACACCCGGCTAATTTTTTGTATTTTTAGTAGAGACCGGGTTTCACCATGTTGGCCAGGATGGTCTCAATCTCTTGACCTCGTGATCCGCCCACCTCGGCCTCCCAAAGTGCTGGGGTTACAGGCGTGAGCCACTGCGCCCAGCCTTTTAATTGTTTATTTAAATCTATCCTTTCTCCATACTGGGTTCCAAATGTTAGGCATACATGTATTGGTACTACTGCTCTATCTGTTCTATAAATGCTACACTAAATGTAACTGTTCTGGTAGATATGAACATTTTTTGGTGAGGGGTCTGTGATCAGAGACCAGGGATAAACACTGAAATAATAGGAAATATATACATTGGTCTCTGTCCCTGGTTCCTAACACAGAGCTCCTAGAAACCTTGTAAATAGCGGTTCTAGGAGAATCTTTTGTTCTAATAGTTAAACTTTGATGCAGCTTCTGACATACAGCTCCTAAGACCTTTGAAATTTCTTTAGTGATAGGAATATCTGACACAGAGCTCTTAAACACTTTGGAATTTCCTGGGTGATAGGAGTGTCTTTCGTTTTACTGAGGCGTCTCTTGTTCATCTCCTGGATGGGGCTGATCACCAGAAAGACCAAGCCATGATTAAAAGCTTAGAACTTTTAGCCCCATCCCCTATTCTCTGGAGAAGGGAGAAGGGCTAGAAATGTAGTTAATAATCAGTCATGCCTACATGATGTGGCCTCCGTAAAAATTCCAAGAGTAAGGGTTTTGGAGAGCTTCCAGTTTGATGAACACATTCCCATGTTAGGAGGGTGACTAACCCCAACTTCACGGGGACAGAAGCTCCTGTGCTTGAAATCCTTCCAGACCTTGTCCAAGGTACTGCTTCATCTGGCTGCTCATTTGTATTATTTAAAATATCCTGTGTTATAAGTCCACAATAGTAAGCGCCAACCTAAATAACAGAGAGATCCTCCCTAGAGGGAAAGATACTTACCTGAGAATAAAACACTGTAATGGGAATACTCATGCCTTAGTAAACTATGTGCATATTCAGGAAGGTAAAGGAAGACAAAGGTCTTCAAAAAAAATACAAAGATTATATAATTGTTTTGAAATATTTATTCTTGGCTACAAAGATCAATAACAAGGATGACAACAGTCCGAAACTGGACAGGCAGTTGCTGGGCATAAGTTCTTTCAGAAGTATTTTTTTGTGTAAGTTTGTGATAGCCTTTGTGCAAGGTTGTGGTTTTTGCATAGTCTTTTTTGTTATCAAGCAAACAAGCATGAGAACCCTCTCTTGGAGGCCTTCCCTAGCTCTATTTATCAGGATTTTCTCAACAGTAGTGACTGCATTTTGATTCTCACCACTTCCATTTAAGTAAACTGTCTTTCTGATTTCTGTGAGGTGCTCCACCAAATTACTGAACCTAAGGGAGGGGGTCATCAGAACCTCTGATTTGTAATCAAGTCAGACAGAAGTTGTGGGTAACCTGGGAACCTACTACTTGTAGTTGGCAAGTGAAGTGGGAGGCAGTCTAGTGGGATTCAGCCTTTAATCAGTGAGGTTGGTGCTAACTCTGGTTAGTGACAGAATTGAGATGAATTGAACTGAATTGTTAGACACCCACTTGGTCTTGGAGAATTGGTTGGTGTGAGGAAATGAAAATCCACACAATCCATTGTCAGCAGTGAAGTGTTGTGAGTAAAAGCAGTACAATAGGGAGAAAAAATGTTGTTTTTTTCTATACAGAACATTATGATGGTTTGAAGAAAAAAATTTTTGCCTATTAAAGGCTTTTTGTTTCATTCCCAATGATTTTGGCAATTATAAACAGCTACATGGTTTTTGGTGTACATACATAAACACGCATTTCTCTGGAGCATATACCAAGGATAAGAATTCATTTTTTTGAGAGGACTCAAGTTTAAATTTAATGTATACTGCCAAATATTTCTCCAAAATGATTCTACCAATCTATGCACACAGTAGTAGCTTATGCTATTTACTAATTTCTGAATTGTTATCAAAATTTGGAAATGCGGCCTGGTGGCTCATACCTGTAACCCCAGCAGTTGTGATTACACACCTTGGGAGGCCAAGGCAGGTGCATTGCTTAAGCCCAGGAGTTTGAGACCAGCCTGGGCAACATGGCAAAACCCCATGTCTACAAAAAGTTCAAAAATTAGGCCGGGCGCGGTGGCTCACGCCTGTAATCCCAGCACTTTGGGAGGCCGAGGCGGGCGGATCACGAGGTCAGCAGATAGAGACCATCCTGGCTAACACGGTGAAACCCCGTCTCTACTAAAAGTACAAAAAAAAATTAGCCAGGCATAGTGGCGGGCGCCTGTAGTCTCAGCTACTCGGGAGGCTGAGGCAGGAGAATGGCGTGAACCCGGGAGGCGGAGCTTGCAGTGAGCCGAGATGGCGCCACTGCACTCCAGCCTGGGTGACAGAGCGAGACTCCGTCTCAAAAAAAAAAAATTTTTTTTCAAAAATTAGCCTGATATGGTGGATGTGCTTGTAGTCCCAGCTACTTAGGAGTCTGAGGTGGCAGGATCACCTGAGACCAGGAGGTGAAAGCTGCAATGACCCATGATTGTGCCACTGCACTCCAGCCTAGGCAGCAGAGTGAGACCCTGTCTCTAAAAGTAAGAAAAAAAAAAAAAAAAAGGGAATGTCAGCTTTATTAAGTTTCCAAGTCAAATGAGTTTTGTTTTAATTTTCATTTTCCTGTTTACCAATAAGGTTAAGCTTTTTGTTTTTATTGTTGATTGTTGGCCTTTTGGAATTGTCATCTACACAGAAGTTTTCATTATGCCACTATCACAGTAATTTTTACCGTAGATTTATTGTCTAAGTTTTTTGGAGAAATCATTTCAAATTTACACATTAAAATTATCTTTGTCTATTCTCAAAAAAAACTTTATTTTTTTTTGAGACAGTCTCACTCTGTCGACCAGGCTAGAGTGCAGTGGCACAATCTCAGCACACTGCAACCTCCGCCTCCCAAGTTCGAGCAATTCTTGTGCCTCAGCCTCCTGAGTAGCTGGGATTACAGGTGCACGCTACCATGCCCAGCTAATTTTCTGTATTTTTAGTAGAGACAGGGTTTCACCACATTGCCCAGGCTGGTCTCGAACTCCTGAGCTCAGGCAATCTGCCCACCTCAGCCTCCCAAAGTGCTAGGATTTAAAGGCGTCAGCCACTGCACCCAGCCAAAAAAAAAAAAAAAAAAAAAAAAAACTTTTTTATTATAAAAAATTTCTAATATACATTTGAAAATGGAGAAAATAGTATCCTGAACTGTCATGTTTGTCACCCAGCTTCACCAACTGTCTATTCACAGTTAATCTTATTTCTTCTAAGCACCACCTAACTGCCACCCCCACCCCCCACACACATATACCAGGATAGCTCTGAAGTAAACCTGGATATCACAGTATTTCACTCATTAAATGTACGTATATTAAATACATAGAAATATATTTATAATATAATATAAAATATGTTAATATGTCAATTATAATCATATAGTGTAATTATATTATACATTAAATATATACAATTATATAGAGATATATTCACATTTTTAACATATTTTAAGCTATATTATGATAAAGACTTTTCTTTTTTTTTTTTTGAACAGGATCTGGCTCTGTCACCCAGGCTAGAGAGCAGTGGTGCCATCTCACTGGAGCCTCCACCTCCCAAGCTCAGGCAATCCTCCCACCTCAGCCTCCTGAGAAGCTGGGATGACAGACATGCACCACCACACCCGGCTAGTTTTTTGTATTTTTTGTGGAGATGGGGGTTTCACCATGTTACCCAGGCTGGTGTTGAACTCCCTGGGTTCAAGTGATCCACCTGCCTCTGCCTCCCAAAGTGCAGAGATTACAGGCGTGAGCCACTGCACCCGGCTGATAAGCACTTTTTTGGAACAACTGCTATACATTTATATAACCTAAAATAACAATAATTCTTATTATCACTAATATGCAGTGTTCAGAATTCCAGAGTGCCTCATAATTATTTTTTCACAGAGGGTTGTGCTTTTTACAGACATTCCATTTAGTTGTGCCTTGCAGAGGTACCCATGGCTGCGGGCTTCCTCAGAGGAACAGACATTTCTTTCATGGAAAATCTCAGAAGCAAATGAAGCCCATGACCTGCCTACCCTAAAATAGTTCTAAACTTCAGGTTGGCCTGAGAAACTCACATTCTACTTCATGTGGGAGCTTTGTTTATTTGTTTAATGATTAATGTGTAGGATTAAATATTTCCTAAATACTCAAGGACTTATTGCCTCCTTCTTCATTACATATATTGATATGTTTGATATGCCTAATAACTTTGTTAGCATGACAGCTTATTTTCTCTAGGGCACATAGAAATTGATCTGCAAAACGACCACCCCCAAACCATCCATTGCAACCCACTAGAGTGAGGGGAAGATAGTGATAGAGTTATTATTGTGTTTCAAAATTTGCGTCCAGGCCAGGGGTGATGGCTCACATGTGTAATCACAACACTTTGGGAGGCCACGGTGGGAGTATCCCTTGAGCCCAGGAGTTGGAGACCAACCTGGGCAACATAGTGAGACCCCATCTCTACAAAAAATTTTTTTAAAAATTAGCCTAGCATTGTAGTCCTTGCCTGTAGTCCCAGCTACTAGGGAGGTTGAGGCAGGAGGATTGCTTGAGTCTGGAAGGTCAAGGCTGCAGTGAGCCATGACTGTGCCACTGCACACCAGCCTGGGCAAGAGAGTAAGACCCTGCTCCAAAAAATAAAATAAAATTTCGTGTCCAAAGGATGAGGTAGAGCCGATCATTATTTAGATATTGAAGAAATTATCAGCCCAAATCCCTTCCTCACGCAGTTGTCATGGGGACCAGATGAGTTGTAAGAACACGTGCTGGGATTTGTAGGGCTTAACCCTGCCAGACACAAGTATGTTGCTCCATGTCTGCCTGTGTCCCAGGGCATCCACCCTAAATGTGAGCATGAACACATTTACCTGTGAGAGAGGCAGAAATGACAAGAAGGGATGAAGAGAGAGCAATGAAAATCATCCCTCCAATTCAATGACCAGCTTTTGTTTTCCCTCATCAAGGAGTTTGGTAACGTGCCATTTTCCCAGTACTCTGGACAAGCTAAACGGTAATGCCAGGGAAGCCAAGAAATGCCTCAATTCATGATCAAGACTGGAAAGGTGACTTATCCTCTAAGGAAAATGCTAGAACTCTCCCAGACTCAAAGGAAAGCAGCCAACCTATTGCTTGAGATCACAAATACATGGCCATTAACTTTATTTCACTAGAACTTAAACCTTTGCCACAAATTATTAGTATCACATTTTTCAAAACAACATGCTCCTTTATTAAAGATTAGCTCCCAGGAGCCACTCTTACTTTTCGTCTAAAACACTATGGTATGCACTAAGTTCACTTCATGTCCTCGGGGCAGGAAGATACCTCTGGGGTGGCTAAGGAGACTCTACCTCCTCCCCCTCTTTCTGGTCCTTTGGCCCCTGGCCGAGGCTGCTGGCAGAAGAGCTGTGTTACACCACTGGAGAAGCCATGTAGGAATATTCCCTTCAGGGGAACTGAGCGATGGCCAGTACTGGAGGGGAGAGCAGCTGCACCTAACAGTTTCCCCTGAGTAGTCCCAGACATTCCATCTTTCTGGGAAGTGCAACCAAGAACATTTGGGAAATCAGACAAAGGAATGCAGAGAGCAAACCCGGTTCATGTTTCTTCTCCATCAAAATCTGAAGAAGCATCCAAGGAAGAGAAAGAGTGCCTCACATAGTATTTATTATCCAAAAGTAAGAGAAATGTACTCCTACTAGGATTCTTTTTTAAAACAGACAGGGAGATAGTTCTTTAGGGAAATCTCATTTGCAAATGTGTATTCTCATTTTCTTTCACACAACAGACAGTGGTGACAAAACATGCTGGAGCCTTGTAATATCTGAAACTGGGGCTTTAAAAAGGGGAGAAGAGGAAGAATGGTCTTCTGCTCTCATTTCTAAGATCTCTCATTTCTTTTTTTTGAGACAGAGTCTCACTCTGTCGCCCAGGCTGGAGTGCAGTGGTGCAATCTCGGCTCATTGCAACCTCCGCCTCCCAGGTTCAAGCGATTCTCCCGCCTCAGCCTCCTGAGTAGCTGGGATTACAGGCATAGGCCACCATGCTGGCTAATTTTTGTATTTTTAGTAGAGGTAGGGTTTCACCATGTTAGTTAGGGTGGTCTCATACTCCTGACTTCGTGACCCGCCCGTCTCGGCCTCCCAAAGTGCTGGGATTACAGGCGTGAGCCACCGTGCCCAGCCAAGATCTCCCATTTCTAATCTACTCATGAGAACCAAGTAACTGGAAAAGTAACTGGAAAAATAATAGATTTATAAAACAAAGGAAATAAAATGAGCTATTACCTATAACCAATTGATGAGAAATATTTTCATTTAATAATAGATTTATCTTAAATATAAAATGCCTTACTATATATACTAGTTATAAATTAGACTCTAGAGTAAAGATAATAAACTGGAAAATAGTTTTGACAAATATATCACAGGATTTTAGAACAATGTGCTACATCTGGTGCAGCATAGCATTCTCTTTTATCACACAAACAGATTTAACTGGACATGTGAAACAATTAGTATTATACTCATTCCTGAAAAATAATGAATGGCATTTGTTAATATTCTAGCAGTCTAATATTAAACATTTATTCTATAAAACTGAGCAGCAACTTAAAATTGATTATATGACCAGCAGTTACTGAAATTTAAGGGGGTAATAATGTATACATTTGATAGTAAAAGGAGCTCCCTTAAGAGTCTACACATGAATAGAAAGCACCTTTCACACATGTATAAAGTAGGTACATTTTCAAGTCATGCTATGGAAATACATCCATTATAAAATACTGGATGTAGAGTCTCAAAGTTGATTTCCATTCTTTAAAATCATTTTGGGGGCTGGGTATGGTGGCTCATGCCTGTAACCCCAGAACTTTGGGAGGCTGAGGTGGGAGAATTGCTTGAAGCCCAGAAGTTTGAAACCAATCTAAGCAACATAGAGAGACCCTGTCTCCAGGAAGATTAAAAAATTAGCCAGGCCCGGTGGTATGTGCCTGTAGTGTCCCAGCTACTTGGGAGGCTAAGGCAGGAGGACTGCTTGGGCCTGGGAGGTCAAGAATGCAGAAAGCCATGATCAAGCCACTTCACTCCAGCCTTCGCTTCACTCTGGGCAGCAAGAGTGAGATCCTGTCTCAAAAACAACAATAAAAACATTTTGGTAGGCTTCCTTGCTTAAATCCATTTATTTATTTATTTATTTTTGGTATTTTTCTTTCGTTTAAAAAAATAATATAAGTAACAGAATTTCATTACACACACTTAACAAGACTGGGAATGTGTACACAGTAGACTATGAAAGGCCCCAGTAATGCCACTCATAAAACCAAAGAGTTCAGTGGTTCCTATGCAAACCCTTAGACTTCCTGAGTTCAAGTCCCAACTCTGCTGCTTGCTACCTGTGTGATGTTGGCTGAGTTACTTATATCCATAAAAAGAGATAATAATAAAATCTACCTCAAAATATCAGGAACATTACATAAAATAGTTCACAAAAATCTCATAGTGTAGTTCCTAGTGTATCCCAAAAGTCTAATAAATGTTAGCTTATCATCACCATCATGTTTATAGGCAACCGACTTCAATGGTTTAATTTAATTTTCAGTTACTTTCACTGTTCTGAGTGACTTGAAGATTCTCTCAATTCATTTCCTTCTGACAGGTACTTGGGCCTATTTCTGTGAATGCACAGGAACCAGATGCTATGAACTGCAACTAAATCCCAGAACAAGTAGGAGCAGGAAATTAGGACAGAACCTGCCCGTTTTCTCTGTTACCTATTGGAATTTCCCTACTTACCAAGTATAGATTTTCTGTCACTGGGAACAAATTTGGCAATCCTATTCACAAATAAGTTTTCTCTGTACAGCTTTGGCATAGATTAGAAAGATTGTGTAGCTGGGTCATTCCCAGTTGGTCACTATATGAATTCACCTTCTCTGCCCCCAAAATCAACAAATCTTTCCAGTGCCATAAATCCCACCCTCATCCCACATAGCAACATGGGCTCCAAATTGCTCATCAGGCTGCCGTTCTCATAAAGTCTTTCTGACTGCAAGGCCTTGAACATATCTAAGGCTGGCATTCCAGCATCGATGCCTAATGCTTGGCCTTCTCGGACACCCTAGTCTGGAGGTTGCCTGTGTGGGCTGTGCATGAATCTACTGTGATGTGTGTACGTATCTACAGTCAGTTCTGCTATAATGCTTGTTTGGAAAATCTCGCCCAATGTGACAGATATATTAGGAAAGCTTTTAGCACAATGCTACTTCACATTTGCTTATGCCAATTTTATCTGCCAATCTCATCACTAGGCCAACACAGAAAACTGCACCCAATTGAACTATGCAGGAATCCTCACATGTGCACACTGCACAAGGACAATGAGCAGCTACACCCTTCTATGTCTGCAGTTACACCTTACTTTCCAATAACTCGCAAGCTGCAACCATGCACACTAGCCATATGGCCACCTGCCCTCTCCTTAATTTTTCCTTCTTTCCTCTCAGCCTATTTTGCATTTTCCTCTATGTTCTCTGTTGTTTTGCTCCTTTTCCTCATTCTTTTTCTATCTCCTCTTGTACACAAGGCTGCCGGCGTGGAAACAGGGAAGGCATGTGTCTGTCTGAGAGCAGTTGTATCAAATGTCCATTCCACAAACAAAAGAAATACTTTTCAAGGGCTACATTTATTACAGCATTGATATAGATCTTCACCATTTACCGTGCTACTGTTTTTATTAAGTTCCTAACCCTTTATGTATCAATTACAAAATTGTGAATGTTTTCCCCTAATTCCAGCCCTGTGGTTTCTATTGCATGATATTGCACAGTACACACCTTAAGAACACATGCTGGGTATAGCAGAACTGACAGTATCTATCAATATTTATGATTTATAGAGCTTTTATCCTATACTCAAAGAAATCTATTATTTAATCAAGAAAGATTAAGAACTATTGGCCTAGGGAAGCTCTGTCCAACAGAAATATAATATGAGCCATGTGAGTAACTAAAAATTTATGAATAGTGAAAAAGTAAAAAGAAACAGGTGAAAATAACTTTACTAGCATTTTATTTAATCCAAACAGTATCATTTCAACATATCATCAATACTTTAAGAGTTAATTAGATATTTCACATTCTTTTTATTTCTTTGTACCAAGTCTTTGATTTTTTTTTCTTTTTTTTTGAGACAGCGTCTTGCTCTGTTGTCCAGGCCAGAGTGCAGTGGCAGAATCATAGCTCACTGCAGCCTTGAACTCCTGAGCTCAAGTGATCCTCCCACCTCAGCCTCCCAAAATGCTGAGATTACAGGTGTCACACCACATCTGGCCTTGCACTAAGTCTTTGAAACACGGTATATATTTCAGCACATTTCAAGTGCTCACTAGCCCCATGTGCATAATAGCTACTGTATTTTGGTTTGGGTTTCGGCTTTATTTGAGATAGAGTCTGGCTCTACCACCCAGGTTGGAGGGCAGTGGCGCAATCACAGCTCTCTGGAGCCTCAACCACCCTGGGCTCAAGCAGTCCTCCCACCTCAGCCTCCTGAGGAGCCAGAACTACAGGCACGCACCACAACACACAGCTAATTTTTTCATTTTTGTGTAGAGTTGGGGGTCTTGCTATGTTGCCCAGGCTGGTCTCGAACTCTTGGCTCCAAACAGTCCTCCCACCTCAGCCTCTCAACATGCTGGAATTACAGGCGTGAGCCACTGCACCTGGCCGCTACCGTATTAAGTAGTATAGATCTGGAGGATCTCTATCCTTCTGACCAGAAGGGTATGGAGGGCAAGAAACAAGGTTCATATTTTTTTCTCAAGTAATATGTATAAAACTAAAAGATAGCTGTGAGGCTTGAAGTAATTCCAACAGATCTTGTATGCTTCCTGTCCTTACTTAGATTAATGCATTGCTTAGTGTCAGATTTCATGTGGCACAAGGGTGAGGGACACATGCATCCATCTAAACATATAACTTATTCCATGTGGATCTCCTAGGGAATATGGATAAAAGCTTTCCCTTTCCAAACTGCATTTCCTAGAGTCTTAAGAACATATGAGTAATCTTTCGATGAATGGTTCTTCTAACAATGTAAAGAGTAGTTTTAAAAATAGCTATCATTGGCCCAGCCCAGTGGCTCACTCCTGTAATCCCAGCACTTTGGGAGGCCAAGGCGGGAGGATCATGAGGTCAGGGGATGGAGACCATCCTGGCCAACATGGTGAAAGCCTATCTCTACTAAAAATACAAAAAAAAAAAAAAAAAAAAATTAGCTGGGCATGGTGGCGTGCACTTGTAGTCCCAGCTACCCGGGAGGCTGAAGCAGAAGAATTGCTTGAACCTGGGAGGCAGAGCTCGCAGTGAGCTGATAGCACGCCACTACACTCCAGCCTTGGCAACAAAGCAAGACTGTGTCAAAAAAAAAAAAAAAAAAAAAGCCAGGCGCGGTGGCTCACGCCTGTAATCCCAGCACTTTGGGAGGCCGAGGCAGGCAGATCACTTGAGGTCAGGAGTTCGAGACCAGCCTGACCAACATGGTGAAACCCCATCTCTACAAAAAATACAAAAATTAGGGCTCACTTTGGCAGCACATATACTACAATTGTGAACGATACAGAGAAGATTAGCATTGGCCCCTGCCCAAGGATGACACACAAATTCGTGAAGCGTTCCATATTTTGCACAGTCTGGGAAGATCATTTCAGTATCTGCTAACTAGCACTAAGGAAATAGTGTGAATCTAAGCAAAAACGGGTGGCACCCAATGACAAAATTGTGGTTTTCATTAAAAAAAAAAAAAAATTAGCCAGGTATGGTGGCACACGCCTGTAATCCCAGCTACTCGGGAGGCTGAGGCAGGAGAATCGCTCGAACCCAGGAGGTGGAGGTTGCGGTGAACTGAGATCACACCACTGCACTCCAGCCTGGGTGACAGAGTAAGACTCTGTCAAAAAAAATATATATATATAATAAATATATTATATATATTTATATGTTTTTATATATATTATATATATTATATATTTATATATAATATATATTATATAATATATATATTTATATATTATATAATATATATTATATAATATATATATTTATATATTTATATATATTATATATAATATATATATTAATATATTATATATATTATATATATTTATATATTTATATATATTTATATATTTATATATTTATATATATTTATATTATATATATATTTATATTATATATATTTATTATATTTTTTTTATATATTTATATACATATTTTATATATATATTTATATATATATATATGCCTTCAATGAAAAGTTCCCTGTGTTCAATTGTTTTCAAGTATCAGCTTGATTATCATAAGCAAAATCCACTTATAGTTTTCTGAAATTTTTAGGACAATTCTTTCTTCAAGGGAAAAACCCCGTCTCTACTAAAAATACAAAAAATTAGCCGGGCATGGTGGTGCATGCCTGTAATTCCAGCTACTCGGGAGGCTGAGGCAAGAGAATCGCTTGAACTCGGGAGGCGGAGGTTGCCGTGAGCCGAGATCGTGCCATTGCACTCCAGCCTGGGCAACAAGAGCGAAACTCCGTCTCAAAAAAAAAAAAAAGAAAACAAACAAGCAAAAAACCTTAACAGCTCTGTCATTTACAGTAATCTGGGTAAAAATTTAAGTTAGGCACTTGGGGAAATGCAAAAGCTCTGAAAAAACGTTCCTGCATTGAACAAACTTAAAGTATATCATCTGAAGAGAAAAAAAACTGAAAACAAATATATGAAAAGTTAGAGAACAATTATGTGGTCCTGAAAGTAAATGTAAAAGTTGTTTGAAGAATGGGTGTTCTGGTATCTTTAGTCTCTAACCTCTAATGTAGAATGACTTTATGAGCAGGCTAAGTAAGCATTAGCCCATACATCATGCTTTGTGAAGCAAGGGGCATGACCTCTCATCCAATAATGTCTCCTAAAATTCCTCCCTTTGGCACAGTTATCTGTGTGCTTCTAGGTCCTAAACTGAACATGCACTCCTGTGCAAACCCTCTTCAGTCTCAGGATGAAGGAATGTAGCAGTATATTGAGGTTAGTATCAAATCAGCCTTATCCATGGCCACTCACATCCCACTTTCCAGAGCAGGGATCCTACCATTAGTATTCCTGACCTCAGAGCCCAGCCATAGAAACTGAGTCTTGTTTTCGCTTTGATTCACTCCCTGTTGACTCCAGGTCCTCTAGCACTGGAATCCAAGAATTTATGCCCCCTCAGTCCAACCCCTCCACAACATCCACACCCAGCACTCTCTAAAGTCCTTTGTTGGGGCTCAGGAAGTGATACTCAAAAGTAAATATCTCATTGCTCACACTGTATAGAGCCCCGACTTTCATGGAAGCCCATCGGCAACACCACTGCCTGAAATGAGACACAACTGTTAACTGTTTAGCTAGACTGGCCTATTATCAGGACTGAGAGACTGATTCAATGGCTTATGAGACAATCTATCAATCAATTTTTGGACTGTGAAACTTCTTGAGGAAGTTTCAGAATGAGAAATGTTGGGGTTCAGAAAAAGAAACCCCAAAGCGAAGGCTTGCAAAGCAAAGTCTCTCTCCAACCTTCTGCCCTCCTGTCTCTTGCCCCTCATTCTCCCTGAGGCAAGCCATAGAAATTAGAACGCTTTTTCTCTAAAGTCAGTCCTAAAGCCTAAAAATACAACTCTATCCTTCCCCCATCTTTCTGTGTAATACCTGGCCATAAGGAAATTAGACCCTCATTCCAGAGGGGTCCTGCTCCATATCCCAAAGGAAAGCGTTAGCAAAAATTAAAATCCTAAGCCTCTCAACTGACTGAATAGACCCCCCTCTAGGCCAAGGTGATCTGAAAGAAACCTGAAGAACTAGTTCAGGCCATGACAAGAAGTGGGGTCCGACATGCCTTATTATACTCTGTTCTCTTCAGAGTTAAGACACCACTGACCAGCATTAACACTGAAATAGAGATCATAGGCTGGGTGTGGTGGCTCATGCCTGTAATCTCAGCACTTTGGGAGGCCAAGGCAGGTGGATCACCTGAGGTCAGGAGTTCAAGACCAGCCTGGCCAACATGGTAAAACCCCATCTCTACAAAAATACAAAAATTAGCCAGGCATGATGGCAGGTGCCTGTAATCCCAGCTACTTGGGAGGCTGAGGCAGGAGAATTGCTTGAACCCGGGAGACAGAGGTTGCAGTGAGCCAAGATCACACCACTGCACTCCAGCCTGGACAACAGAGCAAGACTATCTCAAAAAAAAAGAAAGAAAGAAAGAAAGAAAGAAATAGAGATCATAAGGCTGACGAAACAGATTCTTTGTAGCAATAAGATAGCAAATTCAACCTAACTCTCTTATAGTATCACATGACAAATAACAGGCCCCCCCCCCAAAAAAAAACAAAGTATTTTACTCCAAAATATATTTATTTGAAATATTTTTGGATGGCCCTGCAAAGCTGTCTCTTGTGGGGAAAATCTACATTCAGTAAATAATCCCCTTCCCTTTCCTTGTCTTTTCCTGACCCAGGAGAGATTTAAGTAAGAGTCTGGCATCTTTTATGTCCCATAAGAGACATTTACATCTATTATTTAAGAGGCTTCACCTACATAGTAAGAACCTTGATTTCCACAAACCTCCTTATCTTAACTCAAGCATTTCTTTATGCTGACTTCAAGTCATCAGGCAAAGCTTAATTATTATCATTATTTTTGTTTTGTTTTGTTTTGTTTTTGAGATAGGGTCTCACTCTGTCACCCAGGCTGCAATGCAGTGGTGCAATCACAACTCACTGCAGCCTTGACTTCCCAGGCTCCAGCAATACTCCTACCTCAGCCTCCCAAGTAGCTGGGTTTACAGGCATGTGCCACCACACCCAGCTAATGTTTGTATTTTTAGTAGAGACGGGTTTTTGCCATGTTGCCCAGGCTGGCTTTGAACTCCTGAGCTCAAGCAATCCACCTCCCTTGGCCTCCTGAAGTGCTGGGATTACAGGCGTGAACCACCACACCCAGCCAAGCTTAATTATTTCAACCAATTGTCAATCAGAAAATCTTTGAATCCATCTATGACGAAGAAGCTCCCCTTCCCCACCTTCCCCCCTCACTTTGAGATGTCCCACCTTTCTGGGCCAAACCAATGTATACCTTACATGCCTATAACTTCTGTCTCCCTAAAATGTATTAAACCAAGCTGTAACACAATCCTCTTAGGTGCATGTTCTTAGGGCCTCCTGAGGCTGTGTCAAAGGCCCTGCCACTCATATTTGGCTCAGAATAAACCTCTTCAAATATCTTACAGAGTTTGGCTTTTTTTGTCAACAAAATAATGCTGTACAGAAAGACCAAGAAAAATCTGGACAGGCTTTGCCGAGTTTCCTGACTCTGTCTATTAGCATCAAAGCATTAGATTTTATCCTTTTTGTCCAATCATATTTTATATGGCTATCCATACTTCATTGAACATCAGCATAAAACGCAACAATTTTCCCTGCATCTTTGGGTCTTCATTCTGAAGCCTCCCATATCATATCAAACTGTGCTTAAATAAATGTATTATTCTTTTTTCTTGATAACCTGCCTTTGTTATAGGGGTGTTAGCCATAATGCTTATGATGGAGAGGAAAGTAATCACCTCATTTCTGCCTCTACACTTTCCAGAGCCTAGAAATTCCACATCTAAACTCCAGCAGCAATGGCTGGATCTCCTTATTAGAAACTGCTTCTCCCTGATGTTAATTGTCACTTGCTAAACCTCTCCGTGGTATTTTCCAGAGTGTTAAAATGATCTGATGATGGTATCTTGCACACCAGTGATGAGTAAGGTTGATTTGGGAGATCTGACCTTCTACTCTGTTATTTCCTTTCTGTTTTACCATTCCGCAAGCACACCTCACAAAAATGACTTTTAAGAAGACAGCAGCTCTCAGTAGAGGACATACAGTTCCTTTTCTTTCCCAATGAGTGACACCTCCTTCCTTTCACTCCTTATTGCCTATTGCTTAGGGTTCTCCTCATTCTGCACCCCATTCCCAGCTTGTTGATTGTTTAGAGGCAACACTTTCTCATCTACTTTATCTTACTACAAAAACTCTCCCTAAAACCTACCATTAAAAATGCTTCTTTAAGAAGCTCATTGAGACTCCAAAGCTCCCTACTGAATACCTATACCCCTAGGGAAATAGTTTCCTATTTTATCATATAATACACTAACTGATTTCTACCTAAAGCCAAAAGTTAGTAAGAGTTGAATATGTAGAGAGAGAATCTTCACATTAAGCACCTTTAAGACTCAGAATATAATACTATAATACAGGGTATAATAAGCATTTAGAAGTGATTTAATACAAGTATTAGTTAAATGAACACTGTATATGGATCAACATACTCTGATTCATGAAAGTACAAATTCACAGAGAGCAAATTGATGAATCCAATGAATTCTAAGAATCTTTAATTATAGTATGGATATCAAGATAAATTAAATCAACTATGCAATTTCCAAATATCTTTCACATAGGATGATGTAGACTAAAATAATGATACAGCAAAGTGTTCAATTACAGAATGTAATTCTCCAGTGATAATGTCACTCCAAACCTCTATTTTGCTTACTAGAGTGTCAGCTTGATGTTCAAATAGCCAACTTTACTACTGCTAGGTCAAGTTACTGAGAGTTAGCTATATAAGGTTAACTCCTACCCAAGAAAAATCCCAATAAATAAGAATTGTTATGCTTTATGTCCTGCTTCATGATATAAGAAAGGAGGAATTAATTTTAAAAGGATTATAATTATCTAGCCCAACTTCAGAATCACTATTGAATTTTAAGAAAGAATAAATTTTCAGAAACTACATTGGCATTTGCTACCAATCAAGGATAACACTTGTATATAGAAATAATGTTTAAAGACCAAAAGTAACAGAATTTTCCTTGCTGTCTTTTCATCCTCCCAAATCACCGCAACAAACTGTTGCAGGGAAACCAGCAGAGGGAGCACTAATCATTGCGATTTTTTTTTTTTTTTAATGTGTGCTCTGAAAAACAAAAGAAACTGTCTTTTAGCGAATTTCTAGATACTTTGTCAAGACTGGCAAAACCCTTATAAAATACAGATATTATTTGCCACTGTTAAATTTCCTCTTTAACTGTTTTTAATCAGTATTGAAACATTTTTTATTGATGTTTTTAATTAAGAAAGTAATACCTGTTTGTTGTACAAAGTGAAACAAATCAGGGGAAATTTTTTTTAAATCAATATTTGCCTATCTCTCCTTCAGATCTGTATTATAAACAGACTTGTGTATCTTTTCACATCCTTCTCATAAAAACAAATTATATATACATATATATATGTGTACTGCTACATGGAGAGAGATTTATAAATACACACACATGCACACATAGGTGTACTCCTACATATATGTATATATGTCTCCCCATGTAGCAGTAGCCTCTCTTTAGGTAACAAAATAGCATGAAATATCCTCAGATATACAGTGGAAAAATAGGAAATGTGAAGTAAACACAATGTCAGGGCATATAACAACCATGTGTGAACAGAGGGTCAAAACATATAGGCCTGAAATTATATCACTGCCTTCCACATGAAAAATCTAAACACATATGAGTGAATGTGTGGACCCGGAAAAACAAATAAGCAAACCAGAACACAAATATCCGTCTTAAACTGTGATGAGGAAAGCTAGGTGAATTAATTTCTGCTTTACAATTTATGTTACCAATCTCTTCACAAAACAAAATTTAAAAAAATTAGCAACAAAACCACTTAGGAGCTTTAAAAAGTGAAACATATTAAAATGCATTCTTTAAAACTCACAATACTGGCCGGGCGTGTGGTGGCTCATACCTGTAATTCTAGCTACTTGGGAGGCTGAGGCAGGAGAATCACTTGAACCCCAGAAGCGGAGGTTACGGTGAGTCGAGATCGCAGCATTGCACTCCAGCCTGGGCAACAAGAGCGAAACTCCATCTCAAAAAAAAAAAAAAAAAGAAAAAAAAATCACAATATTTTACAAATTCTAACTGAAGTAGAGTAAATCGCTTTTCATTCCATTTATTCACATAATTGAACTAAATAAGCAAAAGAATATAACTACTGATATCAGTGGAAGAGACACTTCATCCCACTCCATAGAGAGAATCCCTGAATTTCACTATAGGTTCTGACCCCTGTCCAACATCATCTCTTTACAAAAAGATCCTTCTAAATTAGTGGGCCCAGGACCCAGAGACCCATCTAGCCAGGTGGTAGCTGCTTTTGTGGATTTATGTTTCTGAAGCCAATAAATTTGCTGAAGCTTCCATGGCCTTTACTGTGTGCCCTCATTCATTCCTGTCACTCAGCATGCTCTCCTTGTTTTCCTCCACGTCTCTGCAGATGCACTTTGAACACAGCCTTTTATAAGTGTACTTTATATTTACCAACTTCTACGCACCCTGATCCCATAGCATGGGGCTATCATTTCCCACATAGAAAGGAAGGAAATATTGCAGGGGGAAGAGACAGCACACAAAATGAAATAATGAGAAAAAACTTACAACGGTAGAAGGGAAAGGCCCTACTTACGAGGTTCTAAAGAGAAGTATTTCTGGGAGTAGGGAGTAATTAATCAACTGCGGTATCCATCCCATCTCTCCAAAGCAGAAAAAGGTCATTTTATCTACTTGTAGAAAAAAATCTTTTACTAAGGGCTTTAAGCATTTAGAAACTCTTTCAGAAACCACATCTCTGTAATAAAATAAGAGAACACAGTATAGGGATCCTCATTTCATAGATGAGGAAAACTGAGGAATGGAGAGGTCAAAAGCTGGCTCAATGTCACAGGAAAGGCAGTTGCAGAGTTAGGATAAGACCCAGGGTTCTTGACTCCAGCCCTTTACTTTATCCACAAAGTCAACACAAGCAGTCTAGATTTGTTATCTCGCCCCCTTCTGTCTCAAAGACTGAGTGACAAAGAGCCCTTAGTGTGATACTGAGTGTAAATGACAGCACAGGAAGTCCATTCTCAGGGCAAGCTGTGAGACTGGCAGCTGAACAGGAGGCCACAAAGCAAGTCTGTACAGAGCACTTTCAGTCTACACTCACTATCTCATCCCTACTAAGGCCCAGAGTCCACAGAAGCCAAGGGAGGGAGTGACGGAGGCTGCAGGAGGGTCCACTTAGTTCATCAATTCCTGAGTATCCTTTAGCACCACAAAAGGCTTAGACTTAATGAGAAAGAAATGAATCATCTATAGAACTGAATATTTATTTTAAAGATGGTATTTTCAATGTGTAACTCACATATAAATTATGAATTACATAATTGTTTGTGAACTGTCTGTATAACTACTGTGCAACTTTTCAAGGAACACTCTTTTCTGACATGGTACTAACCTGTTAATTCAACTCTTTGAAACATGTTAATACAGTTCTCAAGGAATTCCATCTAGTCAGGTAGCACATGTTTGAAGCTGAAAATGCTGAAAGTGAAGAAAAATTGTATCAAAACAGGTTCAGTATGAATATCAACCATATATGGAAGAAACATTTATATAGAAGCCACACCCATGTGGATTCACAGTTGTATCAGCCAAGATACTGCAAGTATACCAAGTGTGTTAGTCTAACCATATAGCATAAAGCTGGATTTATTTGTGCTATTATGGCATGGTTGTTTACTGCAAATATAAAAGAAAATGAAGGCTACCACGACCTAATTCCATTGTAAATTGAATTGTATTATCTTCCTGTAAGCATACGTTTCATTACAAACATTTTATTATGAAAGGATGGTCAAAGGAGAAAAATAAATTTATGATACATGTATGACAATATCTCAAAGTATAACTTGTAATTTTCCATATACTGTTAAACTGACCAGCACTTCTTTTAATTCATTAAATAGTGATCAAACTATCCTGTGAAAAGAGATGTTTTACATAACCTTATACTTAATTTTAATATTAACAGTTCAATCATATTTAAATTGATTGAAATAGACACAGTGCATTAAAATCTGACACATTCATTCTTAATTTTAGATGTCCACAAGTTGTGAAAAACTCATCTCTAAGATGCACAATTTTTAAGATCAAAATTTCTTTGATTTAAAAAATTGTCATTTAAAATGGTTTCTGTTCAAAACATTAGTCATCTATAAAAATAAAGATACATAGTAATCATCACAGAAGGAAATTATTTTACATTGTTTATTTATGCCTCTATTTTAATTATTTGTAAAGTCAAAGAGAAGATGCTTTTTTCCAGAATCTAGAGTGCAACATGTTTAAAGAGAGAAAGAGACACACAAAGTAAGACACAAACAGAGATCCAAAGAGACAGAAAAATTGCAAAATGCTCTTACTTAAAGCACCAGACTACTTCAGTTACAGCATATGCACTCCTAGGTCAGGGTTCCTAAATCAATAGACTAAAGAAAAACTGCCTTGTCATCAGAACTCCAAAATATATGGGTCTCAGGAGAAACAAATATGTGGAGCTGTAGATCTAAATCCAAACTCAACTCTGTGGAAGAAAACAAATTTTACCTGTAAAATAAGTTGAGCTACTTGACCAGTACATTAGAAATTACACAGCAAAATACTCTAAAGACAGGATCCTAAACTCATTTTCCTTTCAAAAGTAGGGAGTGAACAGATAAGGGACACTAATTGCAGCAAACAGAATGCAAAACTGAAAAGCTTAAATAAAAAAGACTGATGAAAGCATAACATTAAAAAGAGAAGTGTTTAACTGTTAAATCATCCAAATTGCTTTGCCAAATTTTGACATGCTTGGTTTCCTGTAGTAAAATCTCATTCTTTTTTTTTTTTTTTTTTTTGGCTTTTGGAAAAAAAAAGTGAGGAAAAATAACCAGCTGTTCCTTGTATAGTTCAGGAAACAAGTTTGATTTATTACTTTAAGGTTATTTTTGAATGAGCTGCTTGTGGGAGCCAGAGTGCAGAAGTCACTGAGGCCTGTCCACTTGAAGGGCTCAAACTGTTTCCTGAACAGCCCTTCTTCACTCCTCACCTCCGACGGCTATTATTGACAACGTGTGACTGGGGCCTTCTAGGATTTTAAAACAGCAGGGGTCCCAGCCAAACAATCGGGCTGTCAATTACCTTTTCCCCTGTTGTGAAAGAGGGGCCCAAGACAATGCAACTTCTCAGCAGGGAGTTGTGCAGCTCCAAGTATGTAAGCCACCCTTGCACCGTTCAGCATTCAAAACCAAGTAAATGGTTGGTGCCTTCACTTTTGTCTGTGTGTGTCGGTGCAAACCAGAATTACTGCAAGGTGTAGATGTCTCCACGGCTGGATTTTTAAGTTCTTGGTAGGGCAAAACTGACTCTGTACATTGTTATCTCTGAGCTTCATGGAAGTTTTTTCTAAGTTCCAAACAGACACAGAAAGTCCCCCTCCCCCCACCTCCCAGCCTCCTTCTGTAAGCTTGTCCTCTGGGAACGCCCAAGCCTCTCTACCTATACTGTGGCTTAAAAAACTTCCTGTGGGCATTGATGACTTGCTGTGAGCACTGTCCATCATCCCGCCCCTTTGTCTGGCAGTCACTTCCATTCGAATTTGACTGACTGAGGCAGCCTGAGTTATTTGTAAAGAACAACAAGGCTTTTCATTCATAATTTTAGTAGGGGGACAGGGTGCTAATGACTGAGCTTGAAGAACTAGGGAATGTGGTATTCAAGGCAGGAAGAAGCTCAACTGGCTGCCAGATGAGGGAAGGAAAGGATGTAGGTGAAATGTGTCTGCATAAAAAGCCAATGACATGAAGATCACGTGTATACAAATAGAAATTGAATTTTTAAAACGTGAGATAATCTGAAGGATGGAAGCAGGAAGGAGGGCAGGGAAAGTCTAACAGGATTTCATTAACTTTGGGGTCAAGTTATGTGCCAGAGTTTACAGAATCCGAAACCCATAAAGTGTCTACAAAGGAAGTGATCTTTTCTTCCACTGCTGGTTCTCCTACAAAAACAAAAGAGTAAAGAAAAAAAAAAAAGAGGAAAACTGGTTTTCACTCTTTTTTGGTACCTTTCACATACTCAGACAAAGAGGGTTTGTTTTCCCTCTTTGGAACCAAATCTCCAAAGAATTTACTTTTGGGGTCTGTAGTCCATTTTATGTACATACAGCATGAACATAATATGTAATGATTTTACATATCTGCTGCTTCCAAAGAAGAAAATTTGTAAAAAGGTAAATTTATAGTTGAATTATTTGTATAGGTAAGTCTTATGTGATTTATCTTTCTTGCAAAAATAGTAAAATTGTGGTTTGGTTTTTTAAAATTAAGAAATTAAAACTCACATTGAAGTTTTTTACGTATGATTTTGTTCAGATTCATAGAAAAAAATTGAAATAACAATGTTGCATATTTGCAATCTACTGTGAATTAGCAGAATGATACAAAACGCTTTTAAAAAAAAAATGTAATTCCGGCTGGGCGCGGTGGCTCACACTTGTAATCCCAGCACTTTGGGAAGCAGAGGCGGGCGGATCACCTGAGGTCGGGAGTTCAGGACCAGCCTGACCAACATGGAGAAACCCAATCTCTACTAAAAATACAAAATTAGCCAGGCATGGTGGCACATGCCTGTAATCCCAGCTACTTGGGAGGCTGAGGCAGGAAAATCGCTTGAACCTGGGAGGCGGAGGTTGCAGTGAGCAGAGATTGCACCATTGTACTCTTGCCTGGGCAACAAGAGCAAAACTCCGTCTCAAAAATAAATAAATAAATAAATAAATAAATAAATAAATAAATAAATGTGATTCCATAAGTGAAGAATGTTTCAATCATTTGTAGAAAATCTTTACTATGTTTCTTTCATTAAAGCAAGTCAAATAAAGGCAAAATTGAACAATAACAAATGCTGATTTTTGTAAAGATCGGCAAAAATAATTTTTCAGGCAATGAGACTCTGGCTCTTTCCATGTTTAGTCTATTAGGATTTGTGTTCTCAGGGAGCACTTAGGGCTACTGAGGCCTTGAGTCAATGTTCAGACCCTGGGTTGGGTGCTTACTAATCGCTAAACTCCTAAGCCATAAGCTGACCCAACAAACCTTCCTAAAAACAGAGGAGCAGCCGGGCTCAGTGGCTCACGCCTGTAATCCCAGCACTTTGGGAGGCCGAGGCAGGCGGATCACGAGGTCAGGCGATCGAGACCATCCTGGTTAACACGGTGAAACCCCGTCTCTACTAAAAATACAAAAAATTAGCCGGGCATGGTGGCAGGCGCCTGTAGTCCCAGCTACTTGGGAGGCTGAAGCAGGAGAATGGCATGAACCCGGGAGGCGGAGGTTGCAGTGAGCCGAGATCGGGCCATTGCACTCCAGCCTAGGTGACAGAGCAAGACTCCGTCTCAAAAACAAAACAAAACAAAACAAAACAGGAGCTACTGCCACTACTCCATGGCCCACATCCATGATTTCCTTTCATTCTGACAACCATCCTGCTCTGTTCAGTGGGGAAGCAGAGGCATGGAGATACTCTTGTATTTTCCGTTCATTTCCATCTAAGTACGCAACAAAAGCAAAGACCAGTGAACAGGTAGCTGGGGAGTTCCAACACTAACCTAAAGTAGGCCTTCAGTGGGCTTGTATTATCATTTATTAATTTACTTTGGTCTGTATTTCAAGTATATATATATATATATATATATATGTAAATTGAAATAATGTTAGATAGCCCATGTTATCTTGTGGCTTGCTGTGCCACCTGAGCATATCCTCAAAAAAACCCTTAGGTTTTTGAGAAAAGGATTAAATAACTTACCCCAATCTTAGGATAAAGATAAATTTAAAGCTCAATCACACCCTGGTTATTCTATATTCAAAGCCAAGTGAAGCCTCACCATGCTCTTCTGTCCACTATCTCTTGGGACCTGAAGCTCAGGCGATTGTTCCATGAATGACAGATGTCACAACTGGCTGAGTCCAAGCCCAGGTCAAAACATGAAGTAAGTGAAGGTAATAACCTTTAGTATCTTCTTAGACTTCCCTGTCAGCTACCTCTATCCTCTCCTTTGGTGGTGCATGTTAATAACTGGCTTCCTGGGGTTAAAAAAATAAATTCCAACATCTGGGGATGTCTGTGTTGTAAACACATTGACCACGGCTAATTCTCTTTTCTTTTCTTTCTTTTTTTTTTTTTTTTTTGAGATGGAGTCTCGCTCTGTCACCCAAGCTGGAGTGCAATGGCACGATCTCAGCTCGCTGCAACCTCTGCCTCCCAGGTTCAAGCAATTCTCCTGTCTCAGCCTCCCAAGTAGATGGGATTACAGGCACCCGTCACTGTGTCCGGAATTGGTGGGTTCCTGGTCTCACTGACTTCAAGAATGAAGCCGCAGACCCTCGCGTTGAGTGTTACAGCTCTTAAGGTGGCGCGTCTGGAGTTTGTTCCTTCTGATGTTCGGATGTGTTCGGAGTTTCTTCCTTCTGGTGGGTTCGTCGTCTCGCTGGCTCAGAAGTGAAGCTGCAGGCCTTCGCGGTGAGTGTTACAGCTCTTAAGGTGGCGCATCTGGAGTTGTTCGTTCTTCCTGGTGGTATCGTGGTCTCGCTGGCTTCGGGAGCGAAGCTGCAGACTTTCGCGGTGAGTGTTACAGCTCATGAAAGCAGTGTGGACCCAAAGAGTGAGCAGTAGCACGATTTATTGCAAAGAGCGAAAGAACAAAGCTACCACAGTGTGGAAGGGGACCCGAAAGGGTTGCCACTGCTGGCTAGGGGCAGACTGCTTTTATTCTCTTATCCGGCCCCACCCACGTCCTGCTGATTGGTAGAGCCGAGTGGTCTGTTTTGACAGGGCACTGATTGGTGCGTTTACAATCCCTGAGCTAGACACAAAGGTTCTCCACCTCCCTACCAGATTAGCTAGATACAGTGTCTACACAAAGGTTCTCCAAGGCCCCACCAGAGTAGCTAGATACAGTGTCGATTGGTGCATTCACAAACCCTGAGTTAGACACACGGTGCTGATTGGTGTGTTTACAAACCTTGAGCTAGAGACAGAATGCCTATTGGTGTATTTACAATCCCTGAGCTAGACTTAAAGGTTCTCCAAGACTCAGGAGCCCAGCTGGCTTCACCCAGTGGATCCCACACCGGGCCTGCAGGTGGAGCTGCCTGCCAGTCCTGCGCCGTGTGCCTGCACTCCTCAGCCCTTGGGTGGTCGCTGGGACTGGGCGCCTCAGAGCAGGGATGGAGGAGGCTCGGGCCGCACAGGAGCCCACGGAGGGGGTGGGAGGCTTAGGCATGGCGGGCTGCAGGTCCCGAGCCCTGCCCCACAGGAAGGCAGCTAAGGCCCGGGGAGAAATCGAGCGCAGCGCTGGTGGGCTGGCACTGCGGGGGGACCCAGTACACCCTCCGCAGCCGCTGGGCCGGGTGCTAAGCCCCTCATTGCCCAGGGCTGGCAGGGCCGGCCGGCTGCTCCGAGTGCGGGGCCCGCCAAGCCCACGCCCACCCGGAACTCCAGCTGGTCCGCAAGCGCCGCAGGCAGCCCTGGTTCCCGCTCGCGCCTCTCCCTCCACACCTCCCTGCAAGCTGAGAGAGCCGGCTCTGGCCTTGGCCAGCCCAGAAAGGGGCTCCCACAGTGCAGGGGTGGGCTGAAGGGCTCCTCAAGTGCCGCCAAAGTGGGAGCCCAGGCAGAGGAGGCGCGGAGAGCGAGCGAGGGCTGTGAGGACTGCCAGCGCGCTGTCACCTCTCACCACCACGCCTGGCTAATTTTTGTATTTTTAGTAGAGATAAGGTTTCACCACATTGGTAAGGCTGGTCTCAAACTCCTGACCTCAGATGATCCACCGGCTTCAGCCTCCCAAAGTTTGGAGATTCCAGGCGTGAGCCACTGTGCCTGGCGACCATGGCTAATTTTCGAACCTGACATTACTAAAAACATGGGAAGAGATGCACATAATCAGCTCTTGCAAGCAGGTATAAGCCTGTTCTAGCACCCACCATCATCTATCCATACTTTGTTCCATGTCTACATTCTAGTTTTGTTTTTGGTGAGCTATGAATCCCTATTATGATTTCAAAATATAATAATATAATGACTTTCATTTATTGAAGGGTTATTAGAAGTCAGACATCTTCTAAAACACCACACGCATTCAGCATTTAATCCTCACAGTGATGCTCTGACATAGGAAATACTTTTATCCCCCACTTTACTAGTAAAGAAACTGAGGCATTGGGAGATTGAATAATTTATAAAAGACCCCCTTCTAGATCAACATAAATCATACTCTGTGTGAAGGTTCTTGTCATCTTATTTTTCTTAATCTCCCCATGTAATTCTAATATATGGCCAGAGTTGAGAACCATTAACATAGTTAACAAAACAAGAATCCTTGCTATTTGAAAAAAAAATAGAATAACATCCCTATTGCATGTGATTAACTCTATGTTAGGTCTTGGATAAAGCTGGACTCAAAGTTCTATTTGGTTGTGTAGAAACATCATACATTGAAAAACAATAGCTCTGTAGAGATAATGAAGTGAGAATGTGGGTCATCTTTAGGATATAATATAGTTTTCTTTTTTTTTTTTCTTTTGAGACAGAGTCCTGCTCTGTTGCCCAGGCTGGAGTGCAATGGCGCAATCTCGGCTCACCACAACCTCCACCTCCCGGGTTCAAGCGATTCTCCTGTCTCAGCCTCCCGAGTGGCTGGGATTACAGGCATGCACCACTGCGCCTGGCTAATTTTGTATTTTTAGTAGAGACGGGGTTTCTCCATGTTGATCAGACTGGTCTCGAACTCCTGATCTCAGGTGATCCACCCGCCTCGGCCTCCCAAAGTGCTGGGATTACAGGCGTGAGCCACTGCGCCCAGCAGAATATAATATAGTTTTCTAAAAAAAAATTCTGAATAACCTAAGTATCTCAATTCATAAGGTATCAGTAAATTTTATGACTTTCTGGCTGTCATTTCAAATATCACTGTATTTTTATTTACTTATTCCACTTAATTTTGTGTTAAAATTAACACAAATTTAATACAATATGAAATACAATACATATAAAATACAATATGAAACATACTATACAATATGAAACATACTAAGATAAAATACACTATGAAACATACTAAGAAACTTGTTTATCTGTAATGCAAATGTAACTGATTGTTCTTCATTTTTGTTAGCTCTGGCAACTATAGATTAATTTGGGGTGAGAATTGTCATGCTTTGAATCAAAATTTCACATAGGATCATCCTCCTTTATTATCTTTCATCGTCCAAACTTATCCATCCACCACGGTTGGCCTTGAGAGCATGCCAATAAGCAACTTGGCTTTATCATTCATACCAAATGGATTCTGGATGATTCACAGAAAAAAAAATGCAAATGTCCAATGAATATAAGAAAATATGCTAAACTTCTGAAGTAAACAAAGAAAAAATGAAACAATGAGATATTCTGCTTCATCTACCAGATAAGCACTTATTTATTTATTTATTTATTTATTTTTGAGACAGAGTCTCTCTGTCACCCAGGCTGGAGTGCAGTGGTGTGACTCGGCTCACTGCAACCTCTGCCTCCCGGGTTCCAGCGATTCTCCCGCCTCAGCCTCCCAAGTAGCTGGACTTACAGGCACCTGCCATCATGCCCAGCTAATTTTTTTTTTTTTTTGGAAAGATGGGACTTCACCATCTTGTCCAGGCTGGTCTTGAACTCCTGACCTCAGGTGATCCACCCACCTCCACCTCCCAACGTTCTGGGATTACAGGCGTGAGCCACTGCGCCTGACCTAAGCACTAATTTAAAATCATCCAGAATCCAGTTGGTATGAGTGATAATGTTAAATTATAAATGTACTAGAAGGGCCAATATTTTTATAATTTGGCTGCAAGAAGCTATTTTAAGCAACTGAACACAACCAGAAACCGTAAATGGAAAAATTGATAGGCATGAGTTTTCATATAAGTTGAAAATGTCTTGTATGGTGAAACACAAAATAAAAGGAAAAATACTGAAAGTAGGTTTGAAAGATAAATAGAAAATGGGAGAATATTTGCATTTTTAAATAGGATACTTCAGAAAATAAATAAATAAAGGACAAGCCTCTCAATTAAAACATGGAAAAAGGATATGAACTTGAATTCACAGAAGAAAAAGCAAATGTCCAATGACTATAAGAAAATATGCTCAACTTCTGAAGTAAACACAGAAAAAACGGAACAATTAGATATTCTGTGTCACATACCAGGTAAGCACTGATTTAAAATTTTGACAAAGCTTGCTATTGGTCAGGTTTTGGGGAAATAGTCACTCTCATAGAATGGTTAGAAAGGCAAACTGGAATAATGTTTTAGGGAGCATATTAGCAGTATTATTAGAAATTTTAAATATGCACACATTTGACTTAAAGTCTATTTTCATGAATCTATCCTAAGAAAACACAAATGTGCAAATATAAAAAAGCATGCCTATCACAACACTACTTATTCTAGCAAAACAACCTGTCCCCAAACCTCCAGATGTCTGGAATCTAATGACTAGCAATATGGAATTTTAAAGTAAATATTCACCAAATATTAACCAGAAATGCCACTATGATGTCTCAAATATACTTAAAGAATTCTTTCTGAGATTTTTGCTTTTATAATTTTAGGAAATGTTTGAGGTTTTTTTTTTTTCATACAGTGAGTATATAATTCAGAAGAGAAATAAATAAATCCATTTGCTATTTGGAGAGCAATTATAAGAAAAAAAGAATACATGCATTTTTTTCTGCATAATTCTGGAACATAAAGTACTCAGTATAAATTGATGAAAAATGGGTATTAAAATATACTCGAGATTTTTGTTAAAATTCTCTCTCTATTACTGAAAGCATACCAAATCCTTCCTGATCCCAGCTGATTCATTTTATAACACCTGCTAAGCCATGATGCTAGTGACTTCATGGAAGAGGTACTTACCCTTCAGGTACTATGGGCTGACAGAGGGTATTTTACATTATCTTAGACTTAAAAAGTATCATGATTTGTAATAACTTGAAAAGTAGTTATGAAGATGGAGGAAAAAAACTTATTTTATCAATTGTATGAAGTTCTTGGGAAATGAATGCCAAATACATGAAAAGAGTTGTTGGTCTAACCTGACAAAAACAAGCAATGGGGAAAGGATTCCCTATTTAATTAATGGTGTTGGGAAAACTGGCTAGCCATATGCAGAAAACTGAAACTGGACCCCTTCCTTACACCTCATACAAAAATTAACTCAAGGTGGATTAAAGACTTAAACGTAAAACCTAAAACCATAAAAACCCTGGAAAGAAACCCTGGCAATACCATTCAGGACATAGGCATGGGCAAAGACTTCATGACTAAAACACCAAAAGCAATGGAAACAAAAGCCAAAATCAACTAATGGGATCTAATTAATCTAAAGAGCTTCTGCACAGCAAGAGAAACTATCATCAAAGTGAACAGGCAACCTACAGAATAGGAGAAAATTTCTTCAATCCATCCATCTGACATCATACCCAGAATCTACAAGGAACTTAAGTAAAGTTACAAGAAAGAAAAACAGCCCTATCAAAAAGTGGGGGAAGGATATGAACAGACACTTCTCAAAAGAAGACATTTATGCAGCCAACAAACATATGAAAAAAAGCTCATCATCACTGGTCATTAGAGAAATGCAGATCAAAACCACAATGAGATACTATCTCACAACAGTTAGAATGGAGATCATTAAAAAGTCAGGAAACAACAGATGCTGGAGAGGATGTGGGGAAATAGGAATACTTTTACACTCTTGGTGGGAGTGTAAATTAGTTCAACCATTGTGGAAGACAGTGTGGTGATTCCTCAAGGATCTGGAACCAGAAATACCATTTGACCCAGGAATCCCATTACTGGGTATATACCCAAAGGATTATAAATCATTCTACTATAAAGACACATGCACAGGTATGTTTATTGTAGCACTATTTACAACAGCAAAGACTTGGAACCAACCCAAATGCCCAGCAATGATAGACTGGATAAAGAAAATGTGGCACATATACACCACGGAATACTATGCAGCCATAAAAAAGAATGAGTTCATGTCCTTTGCAGGCACATGGATCAATCTGGAAATCATCATTCTCAGCAAACTAACACAGGAACAGAAAACCAAACACCACATATTCTCAATCATAAGTTGGAGTTGAACAATGAGAACACATGGACACAGGGAGGGGAACACCACACCGGGGCCTGTCGGGGGATGGGGGACAAGGGGAGGGAGAGCATCAGGACAAATATGTAATGCATGCAGGGCTTAAAACCTAGATGATGGGTTGATGGGTGCAGCTAACCACCATGGCACATGTACACCTATGTAAAAACCTGCACGTTCTGCACATGTCTCCCAGAACTTAAGGTATAATAAAAAAGAATAATTAAAAAAAAAAAACAGAATCGTTTGTCTACTGCCACAATCCCTGGCCCTGCCTGGTGTTGAAATGCCGTGATGATGTCTCAGACTTATAGGACTCTTTCTTGGAACTCAAGTATTTCATCTTCTGCCTAGAACTGAATTCCATTGTAAGGTTATTGTACTTGCTACAAACCTAAGAGTCTTTTTCACTCACACCCTCAGTATATATGTAGAGAATTTTAGCTTCCTAATAAACCATTTAAAATTAGTGCTGGGATTACAAGTGTGAGCCACCACACCCGGCCAGTGATTTTTATTCTAACTCCTATACAAATTCACATTTACAGGATCATAGTAGCCTAAAGAATTCAAAACAGTGAAATACCACTGCATTCTACTGTACAACAAATACCTATGCCATTACATAATTTATTATAGGTGAATGTACCTGTTCCTCCTAATGGGGGATGGAGCTTCTAAACCATTTCAGATACAGGGCTACATTCCAAAAATATATACTTCAATCCAGTGTTGGATAAGAGCCTAAATGTTGGATAATATCCTAAATGTTCCCTCAAATAAGAGGGAATTTACATTCTCAAGCCTCCAGATTTCCTGAACAAATAATTCAATGAGTAGATATTCTAGTTAGAAACAACCATATCGGCTAAACAGGTCCCTTCTTCCCTAAAATGTTTTATGTACTTTGAAGAAGTCATACATGAAAGAAAAGTCAATGTATGGTTAAGATTTAATGTAAGAAACACTGTCTATTACTAGGTAAATATAGCTAAATACAGTTAAAACTTATTCTAAATCTCTAAATTATTATTCCTGTGTTTATGCAAACATAAAATAAATCAAATTCTACTAAGTTTAAAGCTTTTTGAAAGGATGGAAGCAAAACAGCTAATTTTACTAAATAAACTATCAAGCCCCATTTAACTGAAGTTATTGCAGCTACTTATTGAGAACTTCCCACATGCTAGGCTGGGTAGATACTTTATGTCATCCAATCTTCCAAGTGACCCCATGCCCCTCTTTTACAGGTGGGGACTAAGGTTAATTATTTCAGTCATTTATTCATTCATCCTTTTTTTTTTTTTTTTTTTTTTTTTTTGAGACGGAGTCTCGCTCTGTCCCCAGGCTGGAGTGCAGTGGCGCGATCTCAGCTCACTGCAAGTTCCGCCTCCCAGGTGCATGCTATTCTCCTGCCTCAGCCTCCAGAGTAGCTGGGACTACAGGCGCCTGCCACCACGCCCAGATAATTTTTTGTATTTTTAGTAGAGACGGGGTTTCACCATGTTAGCCAGGATGGTCTCAATCTCCTGACCTCGTGATTCGCCCGCCTCGGCCTCCCAAAGTGCTGGGATTACAGGCGTGAGCCACCGCGCCTGGCTCATTCATCCTATTGAAAACTAATGTTTGAGCTCCCTGTATGTATTAGGCCCTTCGGTTCTGGAAATACAATGGTGGGCAAAACCAGACTTGGATTCCAGCCCTCATGGACCTTAAAATACAGTGAAAGAGACAGTTATTAATGAAACAATCACAATTACATGTATAGTTGCACCGGAGAAGGTCATGAGAAAAAAAGGTGGGATTTCACCTAGTCAGAGAAGTCAGAAAAAGCTTTCCTGAGAATATGACAACAGAGATTTGAAAGATAAGTAGGCCATCGTGGGCAACATTGTGAGAACTGTCTCTACAAAAAAAAAAAAGTTAATTAGCCAGGCATGGCGGTGGTGCATGCCTGTGGTCTCAGCTATTCAGGAGTCTGAATTAGGAGGACTGCTTGAGCCCAGAAGTTCAAGGCTGCAGTGAGCCAGGATAGGACTACTGCATTCCGGCCTGGGTGACATAGCAAGACGCGTCTAAAAAAAAAGAAAGAAAGAGAATGAAAAGAGAAAGATAAATAAGAGTTAATAAAGCAAATAAGGTTAATAAGAAAAGTGCATCAGGGAATAGCATGTAATAAGGCCCTGTTGCAGGAGAGAGGTGCTTCTGAGCAACTAAAAAGTAGCCTTCATAACTGCAGGGTAGAAAGCAAGAGAGTGTGTAAAAACAGAAAGAAAAGAGAAGAGAAGAGAACTGGTGTAACAGGAGTCTGGTGAGGGAAAACAGCCAGACCAGAGTAGGACCTTGAAGTTGTTTGAAAGACTTGGATCTTTACCCAGAAAGTAATGTGAAGCCAGGGGAGAATCTAAGCAACAGGCAATTGTGATCAGATTCACCCAAAGTGGTCTAGATTGCATCCAAATCCAGCTCTCTTGAACTACCAAAGTCTCTGGAACCTATTATGATATCAAAAGTTCAATCTTGAGCATCTTTTTCTATTAGCAACTACAGTTTAAAAAAAGAAAATAATGATTTTGAAAATCTAATTTCTTTTTCTTTTTCTTTTTCTTTCTTTTTTTTTTTTTTTTGAGACAGAGTGTCTCTCTGTCGCCTAGGCTGGAGTACAGTGGCACGATCTCGGCTCAATGCAACCTCTGCCTCCTGCATTCAAGCAATTCTGCCTCAGCCTCCCAAGTGCCTGGGACTGCAGATGTGTACCACCACGCCTGGCTAATTTTTGCATTTTTAGTAGAGACGGGGTTTCACCATGTTGGCCAGGCTGGTCTTGAACTCCTGACCTCAGGTGATCCATCCTCCTCAGCCTCCCAAAGTGCTGGGATTACGGGCATGAAGCACTGTGCCCAGACTGAAGATCTAATTTTTAATTTTGCTCATATATTTATTTTAACACATGTTAGGATATAATGCAAGAAGGTCTCTGTGGTGTAAAATGAGGGTGAGAAGAATACTTACCAAAAGTGCAAGGGGATTTCTCACATACAACATGAACGGCAAACTGTCCACTAATTGACGGCTTCCTTGAGCTATTTTTAAAATGTGTTCTTGAAAGTTAACAGACTGCTAACTTCTTATTTGAAATTACAGTTTAACACTTAATTTTAATTATTAATATAGTCATATCTTTCAAAGTAAAAAGTTTACTTTTACCTACATTCTTTACCCACCCATCATCATCCTCTTTGTCATTTCTTTGTTATATAGTTTAAAACTAGATGTTCCCTACAGCTTTATTTCCAGTTACCTCACATTTCCATAAAGATTTATTTGTAATTTAATAAGTATTTAATATTTCACCTATTAAAAGTCATAGCCCTGGCCAGGCGCAGTGGCTCATGCCTGTAATCCCAGCACTTTGGGAGGCCAAGGTGGGTGGATCACTTGAGGTCAAGAGTTCAAGACCAGCCTGGCCAACATAGTGAAACCCACCTCTAGAAAAAATACAAAAATTAGCCGGACATGGTGACAGGCTAATAGGTAGCCTGTAGTCCCAGCTACTCAGGAGGCTGAGGCAAGAGAATCACTTGAACCCAGGAAGCAGAGGTTGCAGTGAGCTATGATTGTGCCACTGTAATCTAGCCTGGGCGACAAAGCAAGACTCTGTCTCAAAAAACAAAACAAAACCAAATAATCATAGCCTTAACAAACTTGTTTCAGTCACTTCCTAGTAATTATGCAAAACACAATGGTAATTTCTAGAACAGCAGAATGACTTAACTTCTGCCATTAAAGAATTCAAAAACTGTGAATTTCCTTTTACAAAATTAAGACTTTAAAATATTATCTTATTTTAATCATACTTTTTTTTTCTTTTTTTTTTTTTAGATGGAATTTCACTCTTGTTTCCCAGGCTGGAGTGCAATGGCACGATCTTGGCTTACCGCAACCTCCGCCTGCTGGGTTCTAGCGATTCTCCTGCCTCAGCCTCCTGAGTAGCTGGGATTACAGGCATGCGCCACCACGCCCAGCTAATTTTTGTATTTTTAGTACAGACGGGGTTTCACCATGTTGGTCAGGCTGGTCTCGAACTCCCGACCTTAGAGGATCCGCCCACCTTGGCCTCCCAAAGTGCTGGGATTACAGGTGTCAGCCACCACACCCGGCCTAATTATACTTCTTAATTTCATTCATTCATTGAAAAGCGTTTAGTGAGTGTCTAGTGTCTACAGAGATCGGAGTGAGTGCTTTCTTTTTTTAAGAATGAAATGCTGGGCTGGGCACAGCGGCTCACTCCTGTAAGCCACTGTAAGCTACTTTGGGAGGCTGACACAGAATGATCATTTGAGCCTAGGAATTCAGGACCAGCCTGGGCAACATAATAAGACCTCATTTCTACTAACAATTTAAAAAATTAGCCTGGCGTGGTGGCATGTTACTGTAGTCCCAGCTACTTGTGAGGCTGCGGTGGGAGGATCTCTTGAGCCAGGGAGGTCAAGGCTGCAGTGAGCCATGACCACACCACTGCACTTCCGCCTGGGTAACAGAGTGAGACCTGTCAAAGAAAAAAAAAAAAAAAAAAAAAAGAGAGAGAGAGAGCAAAAAAAAGAAAAGAAAAGAAAATGAATGAGAAGGTGAAGAATCTTCCTGTTTCAATTCCAGGTTCCAAAGAAGTCCAAGGCAGCCTTGATATATAGTCTCCAGATCCTTGGAGCAGTCTATCCTTTAAAGTTCCATCCAACACAATATGCACAAACAAAGCTGTTTCTACCTACCCCACAATATTCTCAAATGATTCTCTGTAACTTCAAAACACTTCCTGTCCAAAGGAACAAACAAACTAAATCTGCATGCAATCATAGTCCGTTTACCAAACTGAACAATTTTGGACTTGATCTGTTAGCGGAGGTTAATTCCGAGCTGGCCGGCAGCCCTGATATTGTGTGGCATCTGCACAGTAAGAATGGCTTAAGTGGAATCTGTTTAACTACATCTTTCTTAGAGAACAGGTTGAACTTCCTATGCCCTTTTGACCAAGTGTCCACATAATAGGAAGTATAAAAGCAAAACCCTCCAACTATTCCGGGGCTAAAATCTTCCAACTGCTACTAATCTTGGCCAGTAATATCCAAATACTAATTTCAATTAATGATTTTTGCTTATATGATCCAGAACATAGGGGATCAAATGTTAAAAACAAACAAAAACAAATAAACCCAGGGCTATTCAGGGAAATGCAGTGAAAGAATGCAATGTCCTCACTGATTAGGTTTTCTCTGCACATATCAGTCCTACAAAGAAGTTTAATCTTCAAACCAAAGGATAGATAAATTGAAAAAAATAATGAGAAAAATCGTGTTGGCCAGCAGAGAAATTCTGTTTCTGCCTTGTTATAGAACTTCAGTTCACATCAGACCTTGCATAAACTGTAGTCATAATGTGCATGCATCTCACAGGAGTATTCATTAATTAACCAGTAAAAATCACCAGGTGGATCCCAGTTGAATACAAGGCCTCCGGAAAAAACCAGACCCGCAGGAGCCTGGAGCTCAAGGTCGACTCTGCAACACCACCCCTCTTACCCTGAGAGAACCCCAGAGCTTTCCCCCAGTTTAGTTAGGGATAAAGAATATATCTCCAAAGAAGGTTAGATCCAGAGATAACTGTTTCCAGTCCTTCAAGCAATCTAGATAAGAACTCAAGTGGTCTATTTTGAATTCCTTTGCATCTTTTGTTACAGCCACTCCCAATTCCCTTCTAGAGGCATTATCAACAGAATTTGGGAAATTCAAAAGTGAAATGACTAGAGTCACAGTTGTCAAAACAAAAGGTCCATCATTACAAAACCCTTTGTCTCAGGAAGGTCCCTGAAGAGGCCATGCATAGACTAATTTTACTATTGCAACTGGGCTGTTAGGAGAGATAATGGTTGAAAGCCCCAAATTGTTAGTCGTGGAAGCAGCACACACTGTTACATTCTGTGCCATCTTCAAATAGATTGCCTTGGTAATAGAACTAACAAACTAACCAAATAGCTATTCATTCTTCTTTTTCTCAAGAATGTGTGATATCATTGCAAGATATCAGTACTAGGACTAAACCTATTAAGGCCAAGTGGTTTGTGCAATCCCGGAAAAACGAGCTACGGTTGCTAAAAGATGCACTCTCCCGTTACTACAACATAAATTCAAAGCTTACACCAGCCAGCAAGTGCAATCTTACAAATATCTCACTTCAACTCACTCAACACACCTACTAGCAAAGAAGCATGTCTATTGATGCCTTCAACCAAAGATTGGAAAAAACAAAATGCACATATTTTATGTACTGTCTCATTGAAAAAAGTTGAGATTATAGTTGTAAAATGAAGTAATTATAAATAAATGAATACAGAATATAAAATGAAGCCAGAGATGACAGATCCCAAGTGTGTGACCAGAGTCCTATTTAACGACAAGTACTAGGAAGGTATGTTACTTGGTGAGTATTAGAAACTTGGGGCCAAGCGTGGTGGCTCATGCCTGTAATCTCAGCACTTTGGGAGGCCAAGGTGGGTGGACCGCTTGAGGTCAGGAGTTCGAGACCAGCCTAGCCAACATGGTGAAACCCCATCTCTACTAAAAAAATTACAAAAAATCAGCCGGGCTTGGTGGCGGATACTTGTAATCCCCGCTACTTGGGAGACTGAGGTAGGAGAATCGCTTGAACCCGGGAGGCGGAGGCTGCAGTGAGCCAAGATCGCACCATTGCACTCCACCCTGGGTAATAAGAGGGAAACTCCGTCTCAAAAAAGAAAGAAAGAAAGAAACTTAGCAGTGAGTTATTGGTGCAGCATGGATTTCCATAGATTCTGTATTTTCCAGCATTAGGCAAATGGCAACACCTGTTCATGTGTCAGAGTTGTCTCTCTAGAACGTTCCACAACACAGTTGAAAACAGGTTTGTGTGTGTGTGTGTGTGTGTGTGTAGTGTTAAGTTTTGCCTTACATTCTATCATACTTCTGAAAGTATCTTCCAAAATTAGTCTCAGTTATAATTTTGGAATGTAACATGAGAATCAGTTTGGGGACACATTACAATAGCTGCACTAGACATTTCATTGTGCATGCATCATACATACACAAAAACATAGTTCCTCTTTTGGATTATAATTCTCTAAACTTTGGAGGCACAATATAGTAGCTTGATACTCTTCAGTCTCTGAAAAAGAGTAACAGTTGCAGTAATTAATATAAAGACTAAGGAGTAAATCAGAAAGAATCCAAAGGGTTCTTGTGTTTATCTTGAACTTAAGTTACAGGTTAAATGTTTTCCCAGTCAGCAAACTGGAGATTGTGAGGAAAGGGGGTGGGAGGAAGAGCTAGATGACATGAGATTCTTTATAGCTCATGGAAGATAAGATATAAATTTCTAGATTTTCCCCTATTAACTCCATAAAAATATAAGGTTCTCTAAACAGCTGGAAGTTTCTGATCTAAATTCCATTGCATGCTTTGATCCCTAACGATGTATCTTCGCAAAGTTCCTGCAGCGCTGGGAGACCAGCAAGGCACAGATGTCTCCTAAAAAGCCGCCATCGAGTGCAGGAGTTTGAAGAGGCGAAGCGACGGCGTTGCTTTCACCTGCTCTGCTCGAGAGACTTGCTGGCCGCACACCGGCAGCACGTTCCTGCCTAGCCTTGCACACCCAGGCTTTGACCCTCCCAAGCAGACAGGAGGGCAAGCTATCTTCTGTGTCGTTTATATTAATATCTTTGTATTCATTTTAAACCAGCCGGCCTAATGCACACACGTTTTGGAAGGTAACCCAGCCTGTCCGCGTCGTGTCCCGGAGAAGAAAGCAGCCTTAGCCCCGCGCCGGGCGGGCGCCCCCTGGTGGCCAGAGGGGCCGCGAGCGCAGCGGCGCCTGCGTTCACCGTCGGCTCAATGGATTCGGGCGTCCGGCGAGCGGCTGTGGCCAGAGAGGCCCAGCTGTTTTGCGCCCGCAGTCCCGGGACGCTCGGGAGCAGGCCGTTGTAGCCTCGTCCACCCTCACCTTAGGGGTCGGGGGACGTAGGCCAGCGCCCGGAAATAACGCATGCCACTTCCCTTGCCATCTCTGGTTCCAAATCCCTAGAGAAAGAGGAGAGCCCTAGAGAAACATGGAGAAGTCAGGGTGAGACCGCAGCGAGGCAGAGAGCGCGCTGGGGACATTCTAGAGCAGGAGCTCAGAAGAAGGCAGCTAGTTCCAGGGTAGCTGCAAATGGATTGGGTTAAAGCTGGACGAGTGAAGCACCATGTTTTCCTAACACTGCTTTCAAGAACACCCCGCATGGGGCAAGATCGCAGGTGCTATTCGGGAATTTTGACCGTACAAGCAGGTACTTCCCTGTAAAGTAAAAGCATTCTGTAAGTCGCTCGACAGAATGCAATATTAGGCGTGTGTATGCGCAAGTTTTAATTTTCCACTGGTGCTCCCACGTGAAGGCACATTTCTTAGTAAATGAACGGCAGCTAGGACAGTGCATATGTATGCATTTTCTATCTTTATTTTTTTTTTGTAAATGGGAAAGAATAGTGCACCTTCAACATGGACAACAGAATCTTGAGAAATGTTCTAGGTGGCAAGAAAAGTGGGAAATGAAGGATGACTTTTAGTTAAGGGAAGAAGGAAATCTGCAGTGAGCCAACCCTTCCCTCCCCCCCGCCCCCCCATTTCGGAAGCCCATGCTGTCGCCCTGAGTAATCTTGTTCCTGTCTATTAATGAATTAAGTTAAAAGGCTTAGACTGTAGACTTTAGCTACTGCATGAAGCAAAATAGTAAGGAAGCTCTTCAAAAAGCCTCCATTCATAGATAACCCCCCTTAAAAATGAAATTCTAATAAACGGAAAAACTACAAGTCGACACAATCAAAAGCAAATCCCAGCAAGAGCAGAAGGTACTTGAAACTCGAATCTGCATTCCGTTCCTCCCGTACAAGGCTCGGAGGTGGGGGAGGCGGTTTGTGCTGGTGCCTGGTGTATAATCGGGTTAATCCAGTAGACAAAGAATAAACCAATAGCCCTCCCACCTCACTTCCCGCTCCCCTTCCCCTCCCCCTTCTTCTCCCCCCGCCCCAGCCCCCGTCACCCGCTCCGCAAAGGGGAACAGAAAAGGGGAGAGGTAGACTTGAAATGGATTCTGGATAAAGTCTTAAAACCTGCAACTTGTTTTTCATGCTAACACTGCGTGGCCCAGATTAGTCTTAAATGTTCATTCCCCTTTCCTGGTGGCAAGGAGAAAGTTCCCTAAGTCAGCTCGAGCCTCTGGCTCGTCCTCATTGCCTCTGGGCAAACCTTAAGGTCAGTGTTTCCTTGAAACTAGATAAACTGACCCTGCAGTGCCCAGCCCGGCCCCGCGGGCGCCCCGCGTGACGGCGCTCGGGCGGCAGGACCGGCCTGGGGACGCGCGGGGCGGCGCGGTTGCCCTTTTGAATGCCTCCTGCGGCTCGGAGCGCTGGCGGGCGCTGGAGTGTGAGTGAATGTAGCCCCGCGGAGCCAATGAGCTGGGACCGGATGCGATATATCCTCTGGGACAACAACTGCTCTGTTCCGCCTCGGATCCACATGACGCCATTTACTGCTGCCGCGGCCGCCGCAGAGCTCCCTGCCTCCTCCGGAAAGGCGAGGGCGCAGGCCAACGGCGAGCCCCCCCCGGGCGGGCCCCAGACCCTCCTCCTCCTCCTCCTCCTCCTCTTCCTCCTCCTCCGCACCCACCGCCCCCGCCTCGGCCTCGCTGCCTCGCCTCCACAACGCCCAGTCTGCACCGCCGAGAGCTGCGCGCCGCAGCGCTAGCGGAGGAGAGGGGCCGGCGGAGCGCGCAGCGCCCAGGCCCCCGCGCCCGCCCGGCCCGGCCCGGCCCGCGCCCCCGCGCCGCCTCCGCTACGACGCGGCCCCGGCCGCACCACTTGGCGATCTGGCTTTAGGTTCTCCGTAAGGCCGTTTTCTTTTCCCATTCGCTCATCTGCCAGGAAAAGGGACTTGCCGTTGGCGCTTCGGCCTCTTGTTCATTGAGAAAAAAGAGGAAATACTCCGCGTGCGCTTGTAGAAGGGGAGTCGTCTCCAGCTCCGAACCCCGGAGTGTTCATCAGCGGGGAATCTGGCTCCGAATTCTCTTTTTTTCTCCCGCCGATTGCTCGGAAGTTGGTCTAAAGCAGAGGTTGGAAAGAAAGGAAAAAAGTTTGCATCGAGACTGGATTTATTTGCACATCGCAGAAAGAAGAGAATCCAAGGGAGAGGGGTTGGTGCAAAGCCGCGATCACGGTGAGGCACGTTTGGCTCTTCCCCTCCTGGCGCCGCGGCCGGCGCGTTGTGGGCAACATGGAGTAGGTGCAGCCGGACCAGGAGTTGGGTCCGTCTCTCCCCGAGCCTCCCTTTCTCAAATCCCGCAGGGTCTTCGCGAGGATCCGGGGCGCTCCCCGCGGACCTGCCTCGCCCGGGGCTTGGGCTCGGCCTGCCTCTGCGGGGACTTCTGTATGCACCCCGTGCAGTGTCCCCGACAGGCGACCCCGCGCGCCCGCGCTCTAGGGGGTTGGGACGGAGGACAGCTAGCCTGAAGTCTGCTCCCAGCCGTGCACTGGCCGCGAATTCGGCGCTGAGAGCGGGAGAGGGAGAGAAAAACACTTTGTATTTTCCAGGTTGCCTTTGCAGGCGCCCGCATTTCTAACCTGTTCTTCCTCTTGGTGGAAGGCAAAGTCCAGGGAGAGGCTGTCCCTAGGCGGGGCGCTGGTGGGGCTGGGGGACACAGGTTGCCCGCCTCGGGGGCAGGAGACTTCCAGGGTGAGAAAAAGGCAGGGTGCCGGGTGGAGGGAGTGCCCGCCTCTGCTCCGTGTGGACAGTCTAGCCCGGAGCGGGTGGGAGCGTCGCCCTGCCTGGCGCCGGGTCTCTGCGGTTCGGAAGTGCAGCTCTCTCTCTTCCGTTCTTCGTGGTCAGCCTGGGTCACACTTATTTTATTTTTGGAAGCTCGGGCTGACCCAGCGCAGGAAGAAAGTCATCAAGCGGTCGCGATCATTTTCCATTACCTGAAAGTAGGTGGCAAAATAGGCAATTTTTTATTTCCTTTTGTTGTTGTTGTTGCTGTGTTTTAATTTGGATTCTTGTGTGTTTTTTACAAAGCAGTTTCTGTGTCCGTTTGCCCCACCCTAGAGCTGAAGTTCTTTTCCCCTAATCCTCAGTCTGATCACACACTGTTCTTAATGGGGGTTTCAAAGCACTTTCAAAGGGGAGGGGGGACTGGGAAAGAGAAGAGGGGCGGAGGTAGGGAGTCCAGCTTTGAAGAAGGAGGCCAGGGATCGGATCGGCAGAAATCACTTAAAAAATAAAAACAAAAAAGCCCCCTTTTATTTCAAAGATGCTACTTTGACTGCAAGCAAATCTGCACCGAAAGTTTACAGCTCCGGGAGCTGGGTCCTGCGCGCCCGGAGTGAGCAGTGGGACCCTGGAAAATGCCCTTTTTTTAAAAAGCCATTTTTCTTTCACTTTAAGAAATATGATATCTTTTTTTTTTCTCTCGACCCAAAAGGAGATAGGCGTGTGCAGATTACAGGCAATGCCCCCTTCGGTCAGTGCAGCGTGGAGTCGCCGTGTGTGCGTGGGTTGGACTTGTGCGTCCTGGCTGCGTGTCTCAGGCAGGGCTTTCGTGCTCGCAGTGTCGGGGTGGGAAACCTGTGCCGGATGTCCGAGGGGCTTTGCAGAAAGCCTGGCAGTGGGCGGCGTGACCTCTGCCTGGGGGCGGAGTGGCTCCTTGGGGCTGGAAGGCAGTTCTCTTGAGTTGGGGGAGATCTTAGCTGGGGAGAGGGAGGCGGGGGAAGTGTGCTCCTGCATTTCGTGACACGTACCCTTCGGAGGCGCCCGCGGCCCCCGCCTGTCTGAGTCTGGGGATCGTAAGCAGGGGGGCAGCCTGGCCCATGGACAGCGTCAGTCCGCCTGGAGAAACTCCCCTGGGGATCGGCTGTGTCCCACCTGCTGGGGACGGTGTTGGGGCACAGAGAGGCGATAAACTAAGTGAAAGCAAAGAGCAGCGTTGTCTTCTGCCATTCTTTTGGAGGTGAGGAGATCCGGTTTCCAGCACTGCCTTGCTCCGAATTGGGAGACGTTTGTCACCTGCCTTGTTCGCTGTGGCCTCTATTCTAAAGAGCGGAGATCGGATAAAGGTCCACTTTTGCCTGTTTTATACTTTTTATTGTCATATAGGCTTGGGAAAGGGGGTGATCGTTTTGAAATTGAAGAAGGACTGCAGTTTAAGGAATTCCTTGACAGAATGCTAGATACGAAATGTGACATTTGAATTTTTAAAACGCTTTTCTGGTTATTATCACTTCGTTTGTGTTCTCAATTAGCAGGGAGAACAACCTTTTAGCTGCAGAATCTAAGGTGGTGTTCTAGGCTATCAGACTGTAAAATAGTTAATTCTTAAGTTGTTGAGAAGTTGAAAATAAATTCATGTCTTCTTCTTGTTAAGTTTGCTTTAATGTGTTTCTGGCACCTAATAGGATTTGATTTGCTTTTAGTTCTATAACTTTGTGCTACTATACAATTAATAAAAAATGGCATGATTGTTGTAGAATTTGGGTATTTACTTTTTTGCATGCCATATTCATTCTACCTGGTTTGAAAAAGTTACAGAATGCCGTATACGTCACAGTTAAAGTGTTTGATGTAAAAGTAAAAATTAAGAACCAAGAAAGAATCTTCTAGGTTGCATTATTAACGCTTAAGGCAAAAATGACTATGACAAATGGAAACCTATTTCAAATTTTGAAAGGATTTTCAACTTTTGAAAACATTGGTAGCAGTGTTATATTCCAGCAATACTTCCTTGCGATTTTTACGTTGAACCTGAACCTTACAAATTGTATGTTTCTTTGAATAAGGAATTCTTACTTAAGTGACTCAAAGATCAGTTTTGTATTGTTGTACATCACAGGATTACAGAATTGTCAGTAGCCCGCCGTAATTTTTACTTTTGGGTACATGCGTTGTTGATCATATGGCTAATACCTCCCTACTGCCATTCCATTTCAAATCCTGTTTCTCTAGGGAAAGTGGGAAGTGAGGAGTCAATTCAGGTGGGTGGAGAGTGGGAAGTATCTTAGAGTATCAACCGTTCTTTCCTCTTGGCTTCCTCAGGAGTTCAGATGTGTTCTAAGCCTGCTGGAGTGACCACACTTCCAAGACCTGATGGAGGCCAGAGCTCAGAGTGGCAACGGGTCGCAGCCCTTGCTGCAGACGCCCCGTGACGGTGGCAGACAGCGTGGGGAGCCCGACCCCAGAGACGCCCTCACCCAGCAGGTACATGTCTTGTCTCTGGATCAGATCAGAGCCATCCGAAACACCAATGAGTACACAGAGGGGCCTACTGTCGTCCCAAGACCTGGGCTCAAGCCTGCTCCTCGCCCCTCCACTCAGCACAAACACGAGAGACTCCACGGTCTGCCTGAGCACCGCCAGCCTCCTAGGCTCCAGCACTCGCAGGTCCATTCTTCTGCACGAGCCCCTCTGTCCAGATCCATAAGCACGGTCAGCTCAGGGTCGCGGAGCAGTACGAGGACAAGTACCAGCAGCAGCTCCTCTGAACAGAGACTGCTAGGATCATCCTTCTCCTCCGGGCCTGTTGCTGATGGCATAATCCGGGTGCAACCCAAATCTGAGCTCAAGCCAGGTGAGCTTAAGCCACTGAGCAAGGAAGATTTGGGCCTGCACGCCTACAGGTGTGAGGACTGTGGCAAGTGCAAATGTAAGGAGTGCACCTACCCAAGGCCTCTGCCATCAGACTGGATCTGCGACAAGCAGTGCCTTTGCTCGGCCCAGAACGTGATTGACTATGGGACTTGTGTATGCTGTGTGAAAGGTCTCTTCTATCACTGTTCTAATGATGATGAGGACAACTGTGCTGACAACCCATGTTCTTGCAGCCAGTCTCACTGTTGTACACGATGGTCAGCCATGGGTGTCATGTCCCTCTTTTTGCCTTGTTTATGGTGTTACCTTCCAGCCAAGGGTTGCCTTAAATTGTGCCAGGGGTGTTATGACCGGGTTAACAGGCCTGGTTGCCGCTGTAAAAACTCAAACACAGTTTGCTGCAAAGTTCCCACTGTCCCCCCTAGGAACTTTGAAAAACCAACATAGCATCATTAATCAGGAATATTACAGTAATGAGGATTTTTTCTTTCTTTTTTTAATACACATATGCAACCAACTAAACAGTTATAATCTTGGCACTGTTAATAGAAAGGTGGGATAGTCTTTGCTGTTTGCGGTGAAATGCTTTTTGTCCATGTGCCGTTTTAACTGATATGCTTGTTAGAACTCAGCTAATGGAGCTCAAAGTATGAGATACAGAACTTGGTGACCCATGTATTGCATAAGCTAAAGCAACACAGACACTCCTAGGCAAAGTTTTTGTTTGTGAATAGTACTTGCAAAACTTGTAAATTAGCAGATGACTTTTTTCCATTGTTTTCTCCAGAGAGAATGTGCTATATTTTTGTATATACAATAATATTTGCAACTGTGAAAAACAAGTTGTGCCATACTACATGGCACAGACACAAAATATTATACTAATATGTTGTACATTCGGAAGAATGTGAATCAATCAGTATGTTTTTAGATTGTATTTTGCCTTACAGAAAGCCTTTATTGTAAGACTCTGATTTCCCTTTGGACTTCATGTATATTGTACAGTTACAGTAAAATTCAACCTTTATTTTCTAATTTTTTCAACATATTGTTTAGTGTAAAGAATATTTATTTGAAGTTTTATTATTTTATAAAAAAGAATATTTATTTTAAGAGGCATCTTACAAATTTTGCCCCTTTTATGAGGATGTGATAGTTGCTGCAAATGAGGGGTTACAGATGCATATGTCCAATATAAAATAGAAAATATATTAACGTTTGAAATTAAACTGAGCTGTTTTGTCTTCTTTTATCTTGTTTCTTTCAAGTGTAAGAAACTACATTTTATGTTAAGGGTAACATTTTAATGAAATAGTTAATCACTTGTCTATAGAATTATTTTATGATTGCCGCTTTAAAGTAAGCTGGATTTGATGATTTTTCAGAGACAATTCTAGCAATCAAGAGAACATTTAACTTACTATCTGTACTTATATGGGAGCTGATTTTAGCTATATCATTGTTCTTGTTCCCCCACCCCCTTTTTTTTTTTTGCAGATTATCTGACTTGTGTTTGTTCTGCAGAGGTTTTTTTTTGGTTTTTTTTTTTAAATCTTTGATTCAGGAGACTTTCCTTAAAAATTAACAGTTAAGCTTTTTCTTTATATACAGTATCAAGGATTAATTCCATGAGGATAATTCAAAACTAGTGAAATGAGTTTAGCTCAATAAACATTTATTGAATGTCACCTGTGTCTCAGACATGCAGTATTCACAGATCAGTTCTTAAAATTAAGGCCAAAAATATTTTCTTGACTTAGCTGATCGTGGCAGTGTTTTTTCCAGTCTGTTTAATTTTTGACTCTGAAACATCACCATTTTACCTAATTCCTTATGTTAGAAAAGACATGAAAAAAAGAACTTGCTTTGATTCTGGTATTTGGTATCATAAAATTTGATCTGATATTGGTCTTACTCAAGACAAAGAAGGCCAATTTAAGGCCCTGACTTATTCAATCAGATTATTCAGAAAATTGTTGCTCTGGGAAAAAGATGCAGCATGAGAGTCAGTGTGCTTGGAGCTGTCTTTTAGAAGCAAAGGTACAGCAAGCTGCTGCAAGCCCATCTTGACAAATACTAGGTTTTAAGTCACTTGATTAGTCACTTTGTGGCTGATGTTTGTTTTTTTTTTTTCCAAAAGTTTGTACTTTTGCTGCCAAGAGTCACTGGAAGTCTAGAAAATAATTTATCTGTCATTATTGTTTAATCTCTTGTTTCCTGTTCTGAGGCTCCTTCTTAGCACAGGTTGTCTTCTGTTATGTTTTTTAAAATTGGCTTTCAAGGAACTATATAGCCTCCTACATTAAGACATTGCTCTAAGGACCTTCAATTTCCTCTGACTTCCTCCAAGAAACATAGTTAACTTAGAAATGATTTAAGCTTCAACTTTGAGTTACTGAATGTTTCAATTCTAACACTCTTAAAACGTCACCCTGGTGGTCTAAGGAAGAATTCCGTTGCTGGAGAATAGGGTAGGGTTTCTTATTCATTATGTAGTTTTCAAGATGTGTAAAGCACAAAAATTTTGACTGATTAGGTTTGTTCATCAAAAACTGCCATGTGCATTGACAGAGCTCTTTTTGGTATAAAAATTGTGAGTTAAATATTTTTTTTTCACCGCATAAGTGGCTTTCAAAGTATTCTTAGACATATTGCATCAGATGTCATTGAGTGTTTATTGAAAAAGTAAGAACCTCTTCCCATAGTTACTGAGTCAGAATCTGATGGTGTGGCCTAGAAATTAGCATTTTTAATCATTCTACAAGTGATTATGTGCAGTGTGGCAACTACTGACCTAGGAATTGCTTTCTAACTTGGTTTTCTTTTTTTTTTTTTTTGAGACGGAGTCTCGCTCTGTCGCCCAGGCTGGAGTGCAGTGGCGCGATCTCGGCTCACTGCAAGCTCCGCCTCCCGGGTTCACGCCATCCTCCTGCCTCAGCCTCCCGGCTAGCTGGGACTACAGGCACCCGCCACCACGCCCGGATAATTTTTTTGTATTTTTAGTAGAGACGGGGTTTCACCGTGTTAGCCAGGATGGTCTCGATTTCCTGACCTCGTGATCCGCCCGCCTCCGCCTCCCAAAGTGCTGGGATTACAGGCGTGAGCCACCGCGCCCGGCCTCTAATTCAGTTTTTTAATGGGCTCTGATCTCTAAAGTATAACTCATTGGTTTGAATATTGAGCATAAAGTGATAGTCAACTGAAATTTGAAGAGGATTTGAATTAAGTATATTAAGTCCTATGAAAATAATTTGTTTAAAGATAAATAAGAAAATTGGAGCCCAGGCATGGTGGCTCACGCCTGTAATCCCAACACTTTGGGAGGCTGAGGCAAGTGAATCACTTGAGGTCAGGAGTTTGAGACCAACCTGGCCAACATGATGCAACCCCGTCTCTACTAAAAATACAAATTAGTGGGCATGGTATCAGGCACCTATAATCCCAGCTACTTGAGAGGCTGAGGCCGGAGAATTGCTTGAACCTGGGAGGTGGAGGTTGAAGTAAGCCAAGATCGTGTCACTGCACTGTAGCCTGGACAACAGAGTAAGACTCTGTCTTAAAAAAAAAAAAAAAAAAAAGAAAATTGGATTTTTCAAGAAGCTTCCAACTAACCTGTTAAATGTTGACTTTATCTATATACCAGCATAGAATTAATTTTCAAAATATGGAAGATTAAATATTTATGTCTAATAGATTAAAAGCAACTGGCACTCATTCACTGCATTAAAAATAATTTCTTATTTTTATTTTTATTTTTTGAGACAAAGTCTTGCTCTGTAACCCAGGCTGGAGTGCAGTGGCGCCATCTCAACTCACTGCAACCACTGCCTGCCGGGTTCAAGAGAGTCTCCTGCTTCATTTCAGCCTCCTGAATAGCTGGGATTACAGGTGCGCACCACCATGCCCGGCTAATTTTTGTATTTTCAGTAGAGATGGGGTTGCACTATGTTGGTCACGCTGGTCTTGAACACCTGTCCTCAGGTGATCTGCCCACCTCAGCCTCCCAAAGTGCTGAGATTACAGGCATGAGCCACCGCACCCAGCAATTTTATTTATTTTTTAGGTTATTATTTTTTGAGGCAGAGTTTTGCTGTGTTGCCCAGACTGGAGTGCAGTGGTGGGATTTTGGCTCACTGCAACCTCTGCCTCCCGGGTTCAAGCCATTCTCCTACCTCAGCCTCCCAAGTAGCTGGGACTACAGGGGCACGCCACCATGCCTAGCTAATTTTTGTATGTTTAGTAGAGATTGTGTTTTGCCATGTTGACCAGGCTGGTCTCGAACTCCTGATCTCAGGTGATTCATCACACTTGGCCAAAAATAACTGTTTTAATGTTGCAAATTATCTCACTTGGGAAAAAATATGGAGGAATAACCTCAATTTCTTAATCTCTATTTAAAGTTCATGAAAAATTATAACATGATAAATTTGTAATCCAATGGCCATTATTTTGATGTGATAGAGTAAAAGTATGATGATAATGCAAACATAACTGCTAAGCATTTAGGGGAATTTTAATCATTTTTGTGGTTTCTTGCTTTTTAATTTTTTTTAAACCTGTGGATGCTCTATATTTGAGATTCATATAAGAATGACAACTTGATTGTTGTTACTTAAAACATTCATTTATGTGTTTTGAGGAGGAGATTTTAAGGCCCTGCCAAATTTCTGCCATGTTGTAGCTTGCTCTGGGGATTGTCTGTGAAAGAAGAAAGCCAAAACCCAGGCAAGTAATCCCAACCAAACTTTTTGCATAACTTCTTTCTTCAGTATACTTCTGTCTCAAGGACTACTTGACTCCAGGATATGTAAGTTAAGGTACTGATGATGTCAGATAAATGAATTTGCTCTTGCACAGTGCTGTAAGGTATTTGATAGGCAGTTGATGGGTTTGATGTAATTTATTAACTTTTAAGCATTTAGGTCAAAATTTTCAAAGGTTTAATGGTTTTAGAGTTTCACTTGAAGTCATACCCACAATTGGCCATTTGTCTTCCTCTCCTAAATGTGCACAAGGACCAGGGTATAAACACAGAAGTTTCAACTTTGAAAATGGGCTGAATTTGTACAGCTCAAAAACAGGTCTGTCAACTTGTGGAGAATATTTTACATTGTTTTCATAAAGAAAACATATAATAGTAGGTTATTAACTAGTCACGTCATTATTGTATCAGTATCCAGTCTCTGGTTTGCAATATCCGTTAAGGCAAAAGTCATGTTAATTTCTATTTTAATTTGGTCTAATGCCTCACTTCTTTATGACATACTAAGGGTGGGTCTCCATTGAGTGGAGATCAGATTAGAATTTTAACAAGGCCTATCTGATTTGACATAAAACTGATCATCAGAGTAAAGCTATACATCTGGAGTATTTCATCATGGGTTTGGCCATTCACAAGAGGATAAGAGTAAGACTGTATATGTCCTATACTGTAGATTTTATTTGTACACCACACTGCCACTCCCTTTTCACCACAAGAGACAACTGTGTGAATAATGAGAGGCAAAATGTGAATACCGCTGATGATACTGCACCTCTGGTCAAAATTTAACTTAATACATTCATTTAATTTACAATCAAAGAAGAAAAAAGGGAGATAGAAATATAGCAAAAGAGGAAAAAAGTAACATTTAAACTTTTTTCCACGCCTAGCAAATATTTTACATTTTTATTTAATACTACATTTTGATTGATTGACTTAAATAATTTTTAAAAGTCAGTCTTATTTGGCAACTCATACTTTTTTTTTTTTAAATAAACTGTTAAAGGAGATTAGAAAGAAGCCTTGGCCTCTGGCTTGGCTAGATGAGACATGTAAGGCTTCAGCATCACTTATGAATTTATTTCTCAAAACAGTTGCTAATACACAGAGATGAATAAATAATTTGACTTAATACAAGGACTCACTTGGAAGAGAATTTGGGCACAGAAATATAAATTTGGCATTTCAACCTAGTTTTTGGATGCCTACTGCTTACAAATTACTGGGCTAGTTGATCTAATGCAAAAGGAAAGCGGTAGCAACTCTAATGCAAGACAGGACTTAGAAGCACAAGCAAGATGCTATGAGAGTGCAGAAATTGAGGGAAACGTTGATGCATTCTCGTTAGTTGGTTTGATCGCCATGTCTTTGCAATGGTTTCAGATACTTAAATACCTCAAGAGTTTTTGCTAAGACAGTTGCAACAGAATTAGCATCACTCATTAAATAAAACTATGCTCACCATCCCATATCCACATCCTAAAATGAATTGTAGAGGTGTTTAATGAATATGTGAACAACTACATGTTGCTATGTGCATTCTTTTTTTTTTTTTTTTGGAGATGGAGTTTTGCTCTTCTTGCCCAGGGTGGAGTGTAGGGGCATGATCTCAGCTCACCGCAACCTCTACCTCCTGGGTTCAAGTGATTTTCCTGCCTTAGCCTCTTGAGTAGCTGGGATTATAGGCATGTGCCACCACACACGGCTAATTTTGTATTTTTAGTAGAGACGGGGTTTCTCCATGTTGGTCAGGCTGGTCTCGAACTCCTGACCTCAGGTGATCTGCCCGCCTCGGCCTCCCGAAGTGCTGGGATTACAGGCGTGAGCCACTGCGCCCAGTCGCTATGTTTATTCTTAATTTTAAGATTCATGACTCACTAAAATCTTCCCTTAAAAAAATACAAATAAAAAAATACTTTTTCAAGATGTAGAACTAAGAAACAAGTTGAAAAGATCTGTCTATTCTTGTTCTTCCAGTTCTTGCTGGAATTTACCTTTTGCCATTAACCCATAGTTTTAGCTTGCTTCTGAACCTAGAGAAGGATGAATTGGAAATAATCAAGTTAGGGGGGCAAAAAAAAAAAAAAAGTGTAAATGATATTGTGAAAAGAAGTGGTTGAGCTTTGGAGCAATTCTGCCCTTGTCAAAAAATACCCGAGACCTGGCTGCTCAGGCTCACATGCCTCTCAAAACCTATGTGACCCTCTCCAGTTCCTAGGCCAATGCAACTTTCATTTTTGGAACAGTTTTTGCTCCAAATAAAATCTAGTTTATTGACTTGCACCAATAGTGTTTACAGTCAAGCAGGGTTCCAATAAATATCATGTTTGTATCATCTCTCATTTCTCCAGATTCCTAGTAGGCATAGTGCACCCATCCTGGCCTCAAACGCAGATTTCCTCCTCCAAAGTAGTCATAAAATAGCCAAAATATATCTGTAGCTACTCACACTAGAAGGCCGCTCCTGAGTTTCCTATTAGAAAGTCATGTTTGTAAGTTCAGAACAGCATTTAAGTTTGCATATCTAGGCTGGGTGTGGTGACTTATGCCTGTGATCCCAGCACTTTGGGAGGCTGAGGCCGGCGGATCACAAGGTCAGGAGGTTGAGACCAGTCTGGCCAACATAGTGAAACCCCGTCTCTACTAAAAATACAAAAAATTAGCCGGGTGTAGTGGTGTGTGCCTGTAATCCCAGCTATTCGAGAGGCTATTCGGGAGGCTGAGACAGGAAAACTCGGGAGGTTGCAGTGAGCCGAGATCATGCCATTGCACTCCAGCCCAGATGACAGTGCAAGACTCTGCCACAAAAACAAAACAAAACAAAACAAAAAATTTGCATATCTAATGGCCACTGTGAACATTATAAAATGTAGTGACCAAGCAGCCTAGCATGTATCAAGCAATAGCACATACAAAGCCTTTGGATAAATTTAGTACCTGCTCTGTTGGCAAAGCTAATGGCTAGGATGCCCCAAGAGATGTTTGTCTCTGACACATGACTCTAGTAGTGAGTAACTGACTCCAGGAACATGGGCAACCACACAATCAACATTTGCATTTAGGTCTTGATGTCACCTGGACTCTGACCTACACACCATTAGGATAGAGCCTAATTGATTTAGTTTTGTTTGAACTGTAAGTGTAAGCTTAAACTTTGGAAATACTGAAAATATGAATTATTTTACAGAGTACTGGTTTACTTCAAACCATCTGTGAAAAGTCACATGATGTGACTCTGATAATGTGTCATCTGTTTCTTTGCCCTTTTACATGAACAACCAAAACTATAGGCCCAGAGTGTAATTACTTGTCACTAATTTAGTATTTATTGTGTATCTTCAGTGTAAAAGGTATTATGGTAGATAGGGAAAAAGCATTCGTTAGATCTATGACTATGAACAAGCAAATGAGGAATGACTGCTCATGACCCTTTGGAAGCTGATTATCTAGGAATTAGATTATAAATCATAGAAAATGACTGGTAGCCGGCCGGGTGCAGCAGCTCATGCCTGTAATCCCAGCACTTTGGGAGGCCAAGGTGGGATCACAAGGTCAGGAGTTTGAGACCAGTCTGGCCAACATGGTGAAACCCCATCTTTACTAAAAATACAAAAATTAGCCAGGCATGGTGGCAGGCGCCTGTAGTCCCAGCTACTCGGGAGGCTGAGGCAGGAGAATCACTTGAACCCGGGAGGCAGAGGTTGCAGTGAGCCAAGATCGCACCACTGCACTGCAGCCTGGGTGACAGAGCAAGACTCCAACTAAAAAAAAAAAAAAAAAAAAAAGACTGGTAGAATTGTCTGCTTCCTGCCTTGGGTGATTTGACCCGGCAGGGGACGTTTGTCGAAGTCTGGAGACATTTTTGGTTTTCACTACTGGGGGCTGGAGTGGGAAACGACTGGCATCTAGTGGGTATAGGCCAGGGATGCCGCTAAACATCCTACAATACCCAGGACAACCCTCCATAACAAGAATTATCCAGCCCAATATCCCAATAATGCTTAATTCGAGAAACCCTGCTGTAGCTGGGCGTGAGGGGCTTATTCCTGTAATCCCAGTGACAGGAGGACTGCTCGAAGCCAGCAGTTTAAGATTAGCTTGGGCACATAGAAAGATCCTGTCTTTAAAAAATATAATATTTAAAAATTAGCCAGGCAGGGCCGGGCGCGGTGACTCACGCCTGTAATCCCAACACTTTGGGAGGCTGAGGCAGGCGGATCACCTGAGGTTAGGAGTTCGAGACCAGCCTCAACATGGAGAAACCCCGTCTCTACTAAAACTACAAAATTAGCTGGGCATAGTGGTGCGTGCTTGTAATCTCAGCTACTCGGGAGGCTGAGGCAGGAGAATTGCTTGAACCCTGGAGGCGGAGATTGCGGTAAGCCGAGATCGTGCCATTGCACTCCAGCCTGGGCAACAAGAGCGAAACTCCGTCTCAAAAAAAAAAAAAAAAGAAAGAAAAAAAATTAGCCAGGCATAGTGGCATGCATCTGTAGTCCTAGCTATTAGGACTACATGTGAAAAATTTTTCTATCAGAAAAATGATCTGTATCTGTAAAATATGTATGTCCAATGCACGTGCTTTCCTATAGTGCTTTAAGTTCATTAGCCTTGGAGACAAGCCCCTGTGCAAATGCCCTTCTCTGTTACTTGTTAGCTAATACTTAAGAGGCTGAAGTGGGAGGATCACCTGAGCCCAGGAATTTGAGGTTGTGGTGAGTATAAGACAGAACAAGACCCCCTCTCTGAAAAAGAAAAGAAAAAAGAGAAAAGAAATAAACCTGCCACAGAGAAAGCTGAGAGAGTAGTGAGGAGAAGGTGATATATTCATATATCCTTCCGACACACGGCAAGAAATGCTGTCGGCTGTGTGAGAGAAAGAGGTCAAAGGACAGGTGGAGATTACTGTGACCATAACTTTGGAATTTCCATTCTAAGTGCGAAGCCTCTAAAATTCTATGAGAAAAGGGGGCCAGGCGTGGTGGCTTACGCCTGTAATCCCAGGGTGAGGCAGGCGAATCACGAGGTCAGGAGTTCGAGACCACCCTGGTCAACATGATGAAACCGCATCTCTACTAAAAATACAAAAATCAGCCGAGTGTGGCGGCACACGCCTGTAATCCCAGCTACTCGGGAGGCTGAGGCAGGAGAATCGCTTGAACCTGGGAGGCGGAGGTTGCAGTGAGCCGAGATCGTGCCATTGCACTCCAGCCTGGGCAACAAGAGCAAAACTCCGTCTCAAAAAAAGAAAGAAAAGAAAAATGACCTGTATCTGTAAAATATCAATATATGTCCAATACACCTACTTTCCTATAGTGCTTTAAGTTCATCAGCCTTGGTGACAAGCCCCTGTACGAACGTCCTTCTCTGTTACTTATTAGCTGTGTGGCCAAAGGCAAGTTACTCAACTTTCCCAAGCCTAACATCTTCATCTGAGAGATAATACTTCCTGCTCGAAAGGTTACTGTGAAGGCTGAAGAGATGTGCGTGAAATATTAGCCTTTGTGATTGGTACAAAGTAAGTACTAAAGAAATAGTAACTCGAACTTACTTCAGTTGAATTCCACCCCCTATCAGTTCCCCTTGTCAGGCACAGTTTTAAATACTGAAGGTATAAGACATCATCTGCCTTGCTGGAAGTTGTCTGTAGGACAACTACATATGTATTTACTATAGAGTATAAGAAACATGATAAAAGACTTAAAATACATATGAAGGGGAAGTGACTAACTCTATCTTGGGTGTAGTAAGTGGGATCAGGGAAGTTTCTTAGGGTAATGTCACAAAGGGACTTGGATGATTTTCCAAAAATGGAGTGGTAGGTAGGAGTCCAGACAGCCAAGCATGGATGAGAAAGGGATTCGTTCTTGAAAAAAAGAAGAAAAAAAGTGATATGAAGCTGAAAGAATTAATAAATTTCAGATCAATGTTTATTTATAAGAGATTTAAGTTTCTAAATAATGGCTTCTAGTAATTACACACACACACACACATATACAAAGAGATGTGCATTTTTAGAGTTTGTTGATGTTATAAATGTTGTTTATTGATGTTTCTTTTTTTTTTTTTTTTTGAGATGGAGTCTCGCTCTGTCGCCCAGGTTGGAGTGCAGTGGCACGATCTCTGGCCCACTGTAAACTCTGCCTCCCAGGTTCATGCCATTCTCCTGCCTCAGCTTCCCGGGTAGCTGGGACTACAGGCGCCCACCACCATACCCAGCTAATTTTTTTGTATTTTTAGTAGAGACGGGGTTTCACTGTGTTAGCCAGGATGATCTAAATTTCCTGACCTCATGATCCGCCTACCTCAGCCTCCCAAAGTGCTGAGATTACAGGCTTGAGCCCCCGCGCCTGGTCTTTTTTTTGTTTTGTTTTGTTTTGTTTTGTTTTTTTTGTTTGTTTGAGATGGGAGTCTCACTTTGTCACCAGGCTGGAGTGCACTGGTGCGATCTTGGCTCACTGCAACCTCTGCCTCCCGGGTTCAAGCTATTCTCCTGCCTCAGCCTCCCAAGTAGCTGGGACTATAAGCACGTGCCACCTCGCCCAGCTAATTTTTGTATTTTTAGAGACAGGGTTTCACCATGTTGGCCAGGATGGTCTCTATCTCTCGACTTTGTGATCCACCCACCTCAGCCTCCCAAAGTGCTAGGATTACAGGTGTGAACCACAGCGCCTGGCCTGATGTTTCTTACTGGACATAAATTTGTTTTGAATACAAAACTTAGTCAACTGTCCCATAAAATTCACAAAACTCCTTTGTTGCCTAAAAAACACACAAAATGGACTGGGCATAATGGCTCATGCTTGTAATCCCAGCACTTTGGGAGGCCAAGGCAGGAAGATTACTTGAGCCCAGGAGTTCAAGACCAGCCTGGGCAACATAGTGAGACTCACTCAGTCTCTATTAAAAAAAATTTTTTAAATAAATAAGAAATGAAAACCCTACTTTTAGAATGGTTCACTAAGTAAAATTATTAGTCTACCCTAGTTTTAATTAATCTGTGGTATATATATTTTCCTTTTTCTCTTTTTTTTATTTTTTTTTTTGAGATGGAGTCTCGCTCTGTCGCTCAGGCTGAAGTGCAGTGGCGTGATATGGGATTACAGGCATGAGCTACCACGCCCGGCCAATTTCCAATTTGTGGTACATATGTTTTCATTTATTCTAAGTTATTTGAAAAGTTTTGGAGCAAACATGAGTATAAACCTTTTTTTTTTTTTTTTGAAATGGAGTCTTGCTCTGTAACCCAGGCTGGAGTGCAATGGCGCAATCTCGTCTCACTGCAACCTCCACCTCCTGGGTTCAAGCGATTCTCCTGCCTCAGCCTCCCAAGTAGCTGGGATTACAGGTGCGCGCCACCACGCCTGGCTAATTTTTTGTATCTTAGTAGAGATGGAGTTTCACCATGTTGGCCAGATTGGTCTTGAACTCCTGACCTCGTGATCCACCTGCCTCAGCCTCTCAAAGTTCTGGGATTACAGGTGTGAGCCACTGCACTCAGATGAGTATAAACCATTATAAGTAACAATCAATTTTTAAAAGTTGTATTATTGATTAAAGATATATTCAGAAGCCCTTTTTTTCCTTTCCTCACTCATCTTTCATTGTTGATAGGTTCTAACATGTTATTTTCTGCCCACTCACCTAAGTAATTGACTTTAAAATACACTTCTACTGAAAAAAAAGACATAGGTAATTCCATTGGTAATGCAATGAAATTTTTTTGTATGACAAGTAACTCTAAATTGGATTATCCATTAATAAGATAGAAATCTGAAATGTGTGTGGATCTATTATTGTTGATTATTACAACTATCTCAGTCCATTTTCTGTTATTATAACAGAATACCTAAGACTGGGCAATTCAGCCAGGCACAGTGGCTCACACTTCTAATCTCAGCACTTTGGGAGGCCGAGGTGGGTGAATCACCCAAGGTTGGGAGTTCGAGCCCAGCCTGGCCAACATGGTGAAACCCGTCTCTACTAAAAATACAAAAGTTAGCTGGGCATGGTCTGTAATCCCAGCTACTTGAGAGGCTGAGGCAGGAGAATAGCTTGAACCCAGGAGGCAGAGGTTGCAGTGAACCGGGATCACGCCACTGCACCCCAGCCTGGGTGACAGAGTGAGACTCAGTCTCAAAAAAAAAAAATACTGGGCAATTCATAGGCAATTCATCAAGCAAAGAGGTTTATTTGGCTCACTGTCCCTGGAAGTTCAAAATTGGGTGGCCACACCTGACAAGGACTTCATGCTACATCATAACATGGCAGTTGGCATCACACGGTGAGAGCACAGGAGACAGCAGTGAGTGAATGTGTGCAAAAGAGACACAATACAAGGGGCAACCTTGCTTTTATTTATTTATGTATTTATTTTTGAGATTGAGTCTTGCTCTATCACCCAGGCTGGAGTGCAGTGGCATGATCTCGGCTTTTTGCAACCTCCACCTCCTGGGTTCAAGCAATTCTCCTGCCTCAGCCTCCCAATTAGGTGGGATTATAAGTCCCCATCCCCACGCCCAGCTAATTTTTGTATTTTTAGTAGAGATGGGGTTTCACTATGTTGGCCAGGCTTGTCTCTAACTCCTGACCTCAAGTGATCTGCCCACCTTGGTCCCCCAAAGTCCTGGGATTACAGGAGTGAGCCACTGTGCTTGCCCACAGCCTTGCTTTTTAACAACCTGTTCTCTCTCTCTTGGTAACTGATCTCAGTAACTGAACTCATTCCCTGAAGATGGCATTAATCCCTTCATGAGGGTGGATCCTTCATGACCCCAAAGCCTCTTAAAGTTCTCACTATCTTTCAACACTGTTATATTGGAAACCAAACCTCAACATGAATTTTGGTGGGGACAAAACCATATTCAAAGCATAGCAACTATCTATAAAATATTAAATGTGTAAAATTTATAACATGACTTAATAGGAAGAACACTAGCTATAGAACCGTAGGCCAAGTGTCTTCATGAGCAAATCACTTAACTTCTCTGTGGTTCAGTTTCTTCCCTAAAAATGGTAGTTGTAATATATACTTCATGAGTGATCTGATAATTAAAAGAGATACTCCCTTTTAAATAAAGTACCTTATTAAAGGGAACTGTTAAATGGATATATTGATAATATAGTTATGTTCTTTAATGGATTATTATTTTTCCACAGAGAATGTATGCATGGGTGTATATACATGTATGTCTCTACATATATAGATTTTTGCAATGTTCCTACTAAAAGAAATAGCCATGTTAATTAACTTATGGACTAGTTTTATCCAATGTTTATCTACTTTGAATGCACTAACAGAAGAACTTTAAGAATTCATTCATAGTCCCAAGTAGTACATATTTCCATTAATAACTTCCCAAATGGAAAATAATTCAGTAGATAATAAAGGTATTGGCTGGGCGTGGTGGCTCATGCCTGTAATCCCAGCACTTTGGGAGGCTGAGGCGGGAGGATCACGAGGTCAAGAGATTGAGACCATCCTGGCCAACATGATGAAACCCTGTCTCTACTAAAAATACAAAAATTAGCTGGGCCTGGTGGCACGCACCTGTAGACCCAGCTACTCAGGAGGCTGAGGCAGGAGAATTGCTTGAACCCGGGAGGAGGAGGTTGCAGTGAGCTGAGATGGCGCCACTGCACTCCAGCCTGGTGACAGAGCGAGACTCTGTCTCAAAAAATAATAAATCAATAAATAAGTAAATGTATATTGAAGGTGTTGCAGGAAGAAAGAGCATAAATAATAACACATCAAAATGTTATTATCAATTGAGTGTTAGAGATATAACAAAGTTACTCAATTCTAGGATGAACATTTGTATTTTCATTTGTGCATCTCTGAAATTAGAAGGCATCTTGCAATCAATGGTGTTTTATAATTGCCATTGGCTAGGCAACCGGTATTCATGACATAATTTTTCATTGTTTGTTGTGCTTGAAGCTGATCACAGTTATTCATATTGTCCCACTTCAAGTGAGTTAATATGCATTATCACATTTAAGTTTACTTACACACTTTTTTTTTTTGAGACGGAGTCTTGCTCTCATCGCCCAGGCTGGAGTGCAGTGGTGTGATCTCAGTTCACTGCAACCTCCACCTCCTGGGTTCAAGCAATTCTCCTGCCTCAGCCTCCTGAGTAGCTGGGATTACAGGCACCCGCCACCACGCCCGGCTAATTTTTGTATTTTTAGTGGAGGGTTTCACCATGTTGACCAGGCTGGTCTCGAACTGCTGACCTCGTGGTCAGCCTGCCCCGGCCTCCCAAAGTACTGGGATTATAGGCGTGAGCCACCGTGCCCAACCTACTTACACATTTTAATTGTTGTTTAAAATACCTTCGAGGCTGGGCGTGGTGGCTCACACCTGTAATCCCAGCACTTTGGAAGGCCGAGGCGGGCAGATCTCCTGAGGTTAGGAATTCCGGACCACCCTGGCCAACATGGTGAAACACCATCTCTACTAAAAATACAAAATTAGCTGGGCGTGGTGGTACGCCCCTGTAATCCCAGCTACTCCGGAGGCTGAGGCAGGAGAATCATTTGAACCCAAGAGGCAGAGGTTGCAGTGAGCTGATATCACGTCATTGCACTCCAGCCTGGGCAACAAGAGTGAGACTCTGTCTCAAAAAAATTAATTAATTCATTAATTAAATACATAAATAAATAAAATAAAATACCTTCAAATGAAAATGTATATGCCCAAAGTCAAGAATATTTAATATTATGTTATTTGGCTTAAATTTAATAGTAAGAAAACAAATATCTGTTATTGGAGAAACGAATGCAATCCAATTTTTCTTGCAAAAAAACAACTAAACTCTTTATCGGACCTAAGAAAGGGAGAGGCCCACAGTAGATGAATAGATGAGAGAAATTTCAAGTCAATGATAAGCTGGCATGACCAATTTATGTATCTCAAATGGCTAACACTGAGATTTTGTCATGAATTTATCAGCAGTACTTTTTATTTTCTCCGTAGTTCAAAAATAATGAAGTTTCTTACAATCTGTTGCATCTTAAATGTGTAGAAATACATAGTCATTTTGGATATTCAGAGAAAGGGATGATGGTCAACCTGGATACTGAGGACAGATAAAATTTTGTCCGAGTCTTAAAAAATAGGTAGTGAGGAGGTGTTCTGGAAGGCCAAAAGTCAGGATCGAGCAAAATCCTGTTCAGGAGACAGTGAATGGATCAGTCTGGCAGAAGTGTACATTCATGTAAAAGTGAAATGAAAAAGAAGATTGGGGTGGACGGTGGCTCACACCTGTAATCCCAGTACTTTGGGAGGCCAAGGCAGACTGACTGCTTGAGCTCAGGAGTTCGAAACCCCGTCCCTACAAAAAAAAAAAAAAAAAAAATTAGCTGGACGTGGTGGCACGCGCCTGTAATCCCAGCTACTCTGGAGGCTGATGGTGGAAGAATTGGTTGAGCCCAGAAGGCAGAGGTTGCAGTGAGCCAAGATTGCGCCACAAAATAAAATAAAATAAAATAAAATAAAATAAAAGTTTTAAGATTGTAAAGATAGGCCACGTGCACTGGTGGCTCAGGCCTGTAATCTCAGCAGCAGTTTGGAAGACTGAGGTGGGTGGACCACCTGAGGTTAGGAGTTTGAGACCAGCCTGGCCAACATGGTGAAACCTCATCTCTACTAAAAATACAAAAAATAGCTGGATGTGATGGTGAGCGCCTGTAATAGCAGCTACTCAGGAGGCCGAGGCAGGAGAATTGCTTGAACCTGGGAGGTGGAGGTTGCAGTGAGCTGAGATCAGGCCACTGCACTCCAGCCTGGGTAACAAGAGCAAAACTCCATCTCAAAAAAAAAAGAAAGATTGTAAAGATAGGTTTGGTCTCAATTCTTTACTATTATTTATTTATTTATTTAATTTTATTTTTTAAATTTTTTTGAGACGAAGTCTTGATCTGTTGCCCAGGCTGGACTGGAGTGCAGTGGCACGATCTCGGCTTACTGCAACCTCTGCCTTCTGGGTTCAAGCGATTCTCATGGTTTGGCCTCAATTCTAAGGAGCCTGAAAGTCAGACTAAAGAACCTGGACTTCATCCTAATGCATCTCCCCAAATCTATTTTTGGCCCTTCCATAACATTTTTCAATCAATTTGTAAGAGGGATGTTTTACGAGTATATTCTAAGAATTTAGACCTTTGAAAAGAATGTATTTGATGACTTCCTTTTGCTCTTTGAACAAAGTTCCAGTTCTTTCAAGATCCATAAAGATCTGGTTCTTCCCTACGCCAATAACTATCCTCCTACCAGCCTTACCCGCTCACCACAGCTGCTCTGCCTCCTGTCTCTTTTCTTAGCTTCAGTCTCGTCCCTTTCCTCCACATGTCCTTCACAATACTGTTGTCTTTACCTGGAAACTCCCCTTCCTTAACCCTCATCCCACATCCATTCACCTGATAAACTTTTATTCTTCCTTTAAAACTCGGTAAATGCCGGGCATGGTGGCTCAAGCCTATAATTTGGGAGGCCGAGGTGGGCAGATCATCTGAGGTTAGGAGTTGGAGACCAGCCTGGCCAACATGATGAAACCCCCTTCTCTACTAAAAATACAAAAATTAGCTGGGTGTAGTTGCAGGGGCCTGTAATCCCAGTTGCTCAGGAGGCTGAGGCAGGAGAATCGCTTGAACCTGGGGGGGCAGAGGCTGCAGTGAGCCAAGATCGGCCACTGCACTCCAGTCTGGGAAACAGAGAGAGACTCCATCTCAAAACAAATAAACAAACGAACAAACAAAAACTCAGTAAAAATACCATTTCCCCTGGAAAACTGCTTCCAACCCCTAGTCCAGATTAGATAAAATCCTTCGTGTTTTTCTGTCATCATCTTCAGTCTTTTTCTTTCATGGCACATATTAGCAATGAAGTTTAATTATCAGTGTGATTATTTGTGTAATGTCTTTGTCTCCATTAGACCTTTATTATTTGATTTACGTCTGGATTCCCAGGACCATGCCCATCACCTGGAACATAGGAGAAGCTCAATAACTATTTGATGAATAAATGAATGGATGAATTCAATAGAGAGTAAAGATATACTGATGGCATCTAAGTAAGGAAGCATATGAGGAAGTAGCTATTTTGAAAAACTCAGATGATTGTTTTGGTGGAATGAATTAGAAATGCAAGAACTAGTTGAAGAAAAACTTACCTCTCCCTCCTTTCTTCTCTAAAGTACTGGATTCATTGTCATTTGGGTGGGGCACCTGTATCATGTTACTGCTCTTACTTACACATCTATGCTTCTACTGAACTGATGGTAAGGTTTTAAAAGACAGGGATGGGCCGAGCACGGTGACTCCTGCCTGTAATCCCAGCACTTTGGGAGGCTGAGGCAGGTGGATCACTTGAGGCCAAGAGTTTGAGACCAGCCTGACCAACATGGTGAGACCCCCTTTCTACCAAAAATACAAAAATTAGCCAGGCATGGTGGCATGTGCCTGTAATCTCAGCTACTCAGGAGGCTCACATACGAGAATTGTTGAACCTGGGAGGCAGAGGTTGCAATGAGCTGATATCGCACCACTGCACTCCAGCCTGGGCAACAGAGACTCCATCTAAAAAATAAATAAATAAAATAAAATAGACCAAAAGTGTCTGCTGTCAGCATTCCTCTTTGCTCAGGGGAGTTTAGTCTTTGTTCTAGTAAAGCTTCAACTGATTGAATGAGGATCTGCTACATTATGGAAGGCAGTCTGCTTTGCTTAAAGTTCACCAATTTAAATCATCCACAGACACCCTCTCACAGAAACATCCAATATGTTTAATGTTTGACTAAATATCTGGGTACCATGGCCCAACTAAGTTGCCACAAAAAATTAATCATCACAGGAAGCAGGGATATAGGGAAATACTTGGTTCTTAATTAAGATAGTTAGGTCTCCATCGTGGCCAACATGGTGAAACCCCGTCTCTACTAAATACACACACACATACACACACAAAAATTAGCCGGGCATGGTGGCGGGTGCCTGTAATTCCAGCTACTCGGGAGGCTGAAGCAGGAGAATCGCTTGACCCTGGGAGGCAGAGGTTACAGTGAGCTGAGATAGCGCCACTGCACTCCAGCCTGGGCGACAGATCAAGACTCTGTCTAAAAAAAAAAAGTTATGATTTTCTATCTCTTTAGATTTACCAAGACATTATGAATTAGCTGCCTGATGATGACAAGTGGGTGAGACTTTAGCAAATTGGAACACTAAGCCTCTTGTATTAAACAGAAAACCATATTCAAGCATATTGAATATACTTTTTTCTGAAAGCTTATATACTATCTATTAGAGCTTTAGAGGGATTTCTTAAAAAGCACCAACAATTTTTGATTTGATACAATACAAATATAATAGCCTAAGTCAACTGACTTTGAAACTTTATAGATGGCATCTCACACTGGCACCTCCATTTATTGAATAGCCTTGGGGTTGTTTCTTAACTTTCCCGAGCATCAGTTTACTCATATATAAAAGAGGGATTAAAAATACTTTCTCATAGGACGTCTCATAATTAAAACTATGTTATATTACCACTATCTTCTTTAAGTTGGTTTGTATATTCCTCTGCAGGACAAGGGACATTTTATCCCCAGCATCTAGCACGTGCCTTTAATGTTTGTGGCATGAGTACATGCCAATGAACACAGCACTATATAAATGGCAGCTTTGGTTGACAGCCACTTTACTTTCATTGTAGGGTGAAGCAGGATATAAATAAAACCATCTAAGATTAACCCTCATTGGATATCAATGTACCCTTGCTCTATCTTATTCCTGAGCTCTAGTCTCAGATCTTAACATGAAAATTGAGGCTACATTTGTATGAATCATAGCAATTCTTTACATTTTATGCCATAGTACCATACTATTGACTTGTAGCTTTATCTTTTTTTTTTTTCTTGAAACAGAGTCTTACTCTGTTGTCCCAGGCTGGAGTGCAGTGGCGTGATGTCACCTCACTGTAGCCTCAAACTCCTGGGCTGAAGTGATCCTCTTGCCTCAGCTTCCAAAGTAGCTGGAACTACAGGCCATGTGCCACCATGCCCAATTAATTTTTGTATTTTTTGTAAAGACAGGGCTTTGCCATGTTGCCTAGGCTGGACTTCATCTCCTAAGATCAAATGGTCTGCCCACCTCGGCTTCCCAAAGTGCTGGGATTACATGCATGAGCCACTATGTCTGCCCCATTGTCTCATTTTGACTTTTGATCTTCACAGCCCTGAGATGAATTAAGACAGATACTAATATGCCTATTTTACATAAGAGGAAATTGGAGTTTCTGTAGATGACAGAATTGCTCCAAATCACATAGCATGCAAATGAAAATATTTTGATTGAAGCCGACTTTTGATTCCAAGACCAATATTCTGATTGTATTATAGTTGTTTCCTTCTATCTCTGCTTACAGATAAATATTTCTTAAATGCATTCTTGGTTACCTGATGATATTTCTGTCCTGTCATTTTTATACCTGGGCAACCATGTACTATTTAAAATTGGGTTATTCTAGGCTGGGCACGAAGGATGCTTGTAATCCCAGCACTTTGGGAGGCCAAGGCAGACAGATCACCTGAGGTCAGGAGTTAGAGACCATCCTGGCCAACATGGTGAACCCCGTTTCTATTAATAATACAAAAATTAGCCAGGCATGGTGGTGCACACCTGTAATCCCAGCTACTTAGGAGGCTTAGGAGCAAGAATCGCTTGAATCCAGGAGGCAGAGGTTGCAGTGAGCCAAGGTCACAACACTGCAACTCCAGTCTGGGTGACAGAGTGAAACTGTAAAACAAACAAACAAACAAACAAACAAAAAAATAATAATAAAATTTAGGCTATTCTAAGCTAAGCTATCTTCTTGTATGAGTTCTACTATGATTTTGGTTGTTGGAATTGTCAGCAGCATTGTTACTATTCTTTCAAGTCAGTGATTAGTAGTAGGTCATATCCAATTACTTCTCAGCAATTCTAATCCTATAAATTAATGAAAGAATACATAAACCTTCTCATTTTTGATACATAAATTGCTTGATTTGGAAACATATCTAAAAGGAGATCTATGAAAATATATTTCCTATCCCTTCTGTGTGTTGCATTTTAATGAATCACAAGTGACAAAGTAGTTGAACAATCTATGGGAGTTTTCTCAAGTTCTTTAAATTTAAGAACAATTTATTTAATGTTTTACACAAAGTTTGCCATTTAATTCCCTGGTCAACTATCATTTAGGAATGTATCATTTTATTTTCATTGATATGCCTATTCCTAATAACTATGGAATGTAATTATTTTATGGCTGTTCTAATTAGATTAATCTAAAAATAGAAAAAGAGATGGGAATTTAAAAACCAAACTATTAATACTAAATTTTACATTCTATTTGAATTCCATAGAACTGGCTAATGTAAGATTTCCCCAGGAATGTACTGGAATTATCATTATGAACCTCCCAAATTCTAGGTTGGTTACTTCTATAACTTTCTTTTCTCTCATTTAGGAAAGTAAAAGATGCTAACCTGGTAAGTGTGGTAGATTTGTTTTAATTGTTTTCATATGTTGGCTCTCTCACATAGTATGAAACTCTAAGATTCACATCTGTAAATGCACTTACCAAAAAAAGAAAAAAAATACATAAACATTTCCAAATTCTACAGATTTGCAGGTGCATTCAGATATATATAATTACTATCTGCTTGCACCCTCACTCCTCATCTCCCCTGCCCCCACCCAAAAAAATAAACAAGTCTCCTTTGCTAGGGCTATGATTTTATTGATTTGTTTTTACAGGGATTTTCTTATGCATAATTTGAAGGAAGAAATGAGGCAAGGATTTGACTTAAAAGGCAAAAACCTTCTCTTAGTTACCTGCTTAAATCCTTGGAAGCAAGCCTAAACTTTAAGTAGCAATTTAAACAGTAAATAAATTCTGCTAATGGCTATTAGATTGCTAGCTAGGGAGATTAGTATAGGGAGCAATTCTAATTAAATAAGGAACACTGAAGAGAGCTGAAACGTTTCAAGAATAGATTGTGTCTCCCATGCCTCATTAGGAATATAAAATCAGCTTCTATTGTGAGAAGGACAATCTTTCAAAAGACTGCTCTTTTGCCATAAAGAGGTTACATAACCACCATTTTCAAATTTTGCCTTTCTTTTTTAGTAGCAAAGGGTATTTTTATTGCCCAAATCCAATTAAAATCATGCTAAATCACCATGTTGCATTTTAAGTTAACAATGATTTATCTCCCATTTAGACACATTGAAAGACTGATCTCAGCCACTGTAACAGAATTCAAGAACTCAGATTCTTCCTGCCCAGTGGTTCTTGGACAGGGCTGAGAGGAATTGATGTCAGTCTGATCCTGCCTTCTCGTTACCTTGCCTTCTTTTGCCAGAGATCTCACGTCTTGCAGCATGCTAGGTATTATTTTAAACCAAAGTAGAGAAGAAAATGGGAGTAGAGTAACTAAGTAATAGACTTGGTTTGCCTGAAGGTCCATCTTATCAATTTCGAGTTTAATTGCGTAATTCATTAAATAGGGCAACTGAGTTTTGAGATTTTTTTTGTGTGTGTCCCTTTCTCTACAAATGTGAGTTAGCACTAGTTCTACAGTCATTGCCTGGAATCTTTGGCCCTTGTTTATTTCACAGGCATTAAAAACATGGAGAATTTATATAGAGGAGAAAATTTTGTTTATTTCTTCCTTTTTTGTTTTTGTTTTAGTGACAGGGTCTCACTCTGTCACCTAGGCTGGAGTGCACTGGTACAAAAAAGACTCTGCAGCCTCAACCTCCCTGGCTGAAGCAACCCTCCCATCTCAGCCTCCCAAATAGCTGGGACTACAAGTGCACACCACCATCACTGACTAATTTTTCTTTTCTTTTCTTTGTAGAGACAGGATTTTACTTTGTTGCCCAGGCTGGTTTTGAACTCCTGGACTCAAATGATTCTCCCTCAGCCTCCCAAAGTTCTGGGATTACAAGTGTGAGCCACCCTGCCTGGCATAGTTATTCATTTTTAAATGTAGTATAATCACAATCGCTGAAAGAAAAAGCTTTGACACAGAAAAAAATCACCTCCAAATTTTTAAAACAAATTTCTAGAGGATCTCTTTCAGAGCAGAATATGCTGGAAATACCTGTGTGGCAGCCTCTGCTCTAAGCATGAGGTAACGTGACCCTACCAGGTATCTTAGCCCATGCCTAAGAAGGCATCTAGGAAGGAAGGGCCAGATGCCTAGTTCTCTTCCCTTCTCTTCTTCACTGAGTGATTCCTCACTTTCACTTTTCCATGTGGAACAAGAACAAATTATATTTAGGTTTTGTCATAGATTATGTCAACATCATCAGTGTAGGTTGATCCTTTGCTGGGAATATATGTGTGGGTAGGGAGCTCACCTATAACTAAGAATCCTCTGACTCATTTTATTTATTGGTTTATTTGTTTATTTTACTAAGGGAGTAATTTCCTATAAAAATAAATAGTCACATTTATTTATTTATTCTACTTATTCACTGGTGCTGTGTCCTGGAAAGAACATGAACTTTGGAGTCTGAGATAGCCTAATTTGAGCCCTGCTCTAACATATGAAAACCATGTGACTTTGGGTGAGTGTCTTAACCTCTCTGGCTTTCTTCACCCTTATGGTAAGGGAAAGTAATACTTACCTCTCAAGTTTTATAAGAATTTGTGATAAGATGCATGCATTTCCAAGGGCGGCACCTAGCTCATGGTGGCTGGTTGATAAATGTTACTTCCTTTATATCTCCCACTTTTCTCCCAATCATATTCACCTCTGAAATGACAGCCTGTGCTTCTCATGATACCCATGGTTTTGGTGCGTCAGCTTTTGATTTCTGGTTAAACAAGGCACTGGCTGAATAGTTAGTTGTCTTTTAATTCTCTTCCCACTAGAGTGCCCCTTTCATCCTGCTCAGAAGGAAGGACTGTAATGTTACCTCTTTTTAGGACTCATTGTTTCTCCCTCTCCCAGAGTGACCAGCATTTCCCTGAGTGGGTCAGCTACCAAGAAGAAAACTGTGACCAAACTCTGGGTGGACCTCGGAAAGCAGGTTTTGAGATGCTGAGGACATCAGCATTAACTTAGGTCTGATCACTGTGATAAAGGATCTCCAAGCTCTAACAACCCTAATATTCTGCATAGTCTCTGCAAAATCCAGTTGATGAGAGCCTTTCCCTTTCTGTGATGTAATCATCATGGTATGGCCTAAAAAAACAAATGAAGCATTTCTAATAGAATGTTCCCCTATACTTGGGGCCAGGACCTTGCCATGTTCCATCAAGACGATTGACGAGGCTCTAGTACAATTAGACCTGCCACACATGCAAAGCAATGGCAGACCAGCATTCTGAATATAAATTGTTCATTGAAAGCCAAGTGTATCAGGGAAACTTGGAGGTTTTTTTTTTTTTTTTTTTTTTTTTTGAGACAGAGCCTCACTCTGTCGCCCAGGGTGGAGTGCAGTGGCGCAATCTCGGCTCACTACAACCTCTAACACCAGGGTTCAAGCGATTCTCCTGCCTCAGCCTCCCTAGTAGCTGGGATTACAGGCACCTGCCACCACATCTGGCTAATTTTTGTATTTTTAGTAGAGACAGGGTTTCACCATGTTGGCCAGGCTGGGCTGGAACTCCTGACCTCAGGTGATCCACCCTTCTCAGCTTCCCAAAGTGCTGGGATTACAGGTGTGAGACACCATGCCCGGCTGGAAACTTGGAGTTTTGTGAAGCAGTTCGGCAGAGACATATTTTATAAATAAAATACAGGTGGGCATTCATTCCTGCAACATTCAACCTAAAATAAAACTGCAATAACTGTACTGGCTTTACCTGTTTTCTTATACACACCCACTTGCTAGCTTCTGCTGCCATTACTTGTGTCTACTGCAATAACATGAGGAAGCTAAATAATAACACTTCTTCCTAGAGCACGTCCTATCCTAAGTCAGTATATTGCTTATATTACCACTGATTTACTTCCTTTTTGTTATTCTTTTTGTTTTACCGCCTGTAGGAGTTTGAAGCTTCTGAGTATAAATGGCTCATTGAAAGGCAATAATAAGAATGTGTGTCAGGGAAACTAGGAGTTTTGTGAAGCAGTTCAGCAGAGACATTGCTTACAGATAAAATTTCTGGACAATAAATGTCACCTCAAGGAAGCGTGCCTTATACAACAGAGCTGGCACAAGTACTTTGTTTGCACCTTGGTTGCAGGACTATTACTCTGTAAAAAGGGCACTTGTGGGGCAGTCTTCCTCAGTGACAGAATGTGGATTACAGGGACTGACAGTGAGGAAAACTGGATTCTGATCCTGATTCTGCCACTCTGTGTAACAGCAGGCAAGCCGTTTAATTCATTTTTGCCTCCTGTGAAGTAGGAGAATTGGATTAGCCCTACATGGTCACTAAAGTCCTTTCCAGCAATAATGGGTTTTGATTTTAGTAAAGGAAAAAAAAAAAGTAGAATTTGGCAATAGCTAAACTCTTGTATCGTTTTTCTATCTAGTCACCAAGAAGCAATTCTTCTATTTTTTTAACCACTGCCATCATTCCAAAAGTACTCTCAACCCTCTGTGCTCTCTGTGAACACAGGAAACTCAATTTTCAATACACAGTGAAGAAATGTCCTATGGAGTTCATTACACCAGATTTATATGTACGATTAAAAGAAGGGTAAAGATAGGCTGATTGTAAATTTAAATAACATTTGCTCAAGTGAATAGTTCTTACTTAGAAAATATACTTATATTGCATAATTTTTTTTTTTTTTTGTTACGAGACAGGGTCTCGCCTTGTCGCCCAGGATGGAGTGCAGTGGAGTGATCTTGGCTCACTGCAACCTCTACCTCCCAGGTTCAAACAATTCTCTGCCTCAGTCTCCCAAGTAGCTGGGTCTACAGGCCCGAGCCACCACACCCAGCTAATGTTTGTATTTTTAGTAGCGATGGGGCTTTGAACAGGCTGGTCTTGCAGTCCTGGCCTCAAGTGAGCCACCCATCTTGGCCTCCAAAAGTGCTGGGATTACAGGCGTGAGCCATCGCACCCAGCCAAAAACACTTTTTATGATTCAGAAGTGCTGTTAATTTTCAAGAGGTAATAAAATTGTTTTCCTCATCAGTCAAAAATTATGTTTATGCCGGGCGTGGTGGCTCACACCTGTAATCCCAGCACTTTGGGAGGCCAAGGTGCATGGATCACAAGGTCGAAAGATCGAGACAATCCTGGCCAACATGGTGAAAACGCCGTCTCTACTAAAAATACAAAAATTAGCCGGGCGTGGTGGCACATGCCTGTAATCTCAGCTACTCAGGAGGCTGAGGCAGGAGAGTCACTTGAACCTGGGAAGTGGAGGTTGCAGTGAGCCAGGATTGCACCACTGTACTCCAGCCGGCAACAGAGCAAGACTCCTTCTCAAAAAAAAAAAAATTGTTTATTTTGTTTGTTTTTATTGAAGCTTATATTTCTGACCAGATTTTCTCTTTTAGCCTGAATGGTCTAGAGGAATTATTTATAAAATGAGGTGTGCCTCTGAAAGGTATGTACAAGGAACCATAGGCATATAGAAAGAACATACCTATTTTGTATCTTAAAAATAATAACAAATAGGCCGGGCACGGTGGCTCATGCCTGTAATCCCAGCACTTTGGGAAGCTGAGGCGGGTGGATCACCTGAGGTCGGGAGTTCAAGACCAGCCTGACCAACATGGAGAAACTCCATCTCTACTAAAAATACTAAATTAGCCAGGCATGGTGGTGCATACCTGTAATCCCAGCTACTCGGGAGGCTGAGGCAGGAGAATTGTTTGAACCCGGCAAGCAGAGGTTGCGGTGAACTGAGATTGTGCCATTGCATTCCAGCCTGGGCAATAAGAGCTAAGTTCCGTCTCAAAAAAAAAAAAAAATAATAATAATAATAACAAATAATTGTGTTTTTGGTTTGTTTTGTTTTGAAACAGAGTCTCACTTTTTCACCCAGGCTGGAGTGCAGTGGTGCAATCACAGCTCACTGCAACTCTGCCTCAACCTCCTACCTCAGCCTCCCAAGTAGGTGGACTACAGGTATGTGCTACCAAACCCAGCTCACATGGGTATGTGTGTGTGTTTTGTAGAAACAAGGTTTCACTATGTTTCCCAGGCTGGTCTCGGACTCCTGGATTCAAGTGATCCACCTGCCTTGGCCTCTCAAAGTGTCATTCATTGTATCTATTATAGGGACACCTGCTAGTGATGACAAGGTCTGGTCCTTGTGCCAGGCATTCATGTGTGGTGAGCTGCACCTCAGGAAGAGGAAAGGGGCTGGTCATGGCTCTTTCACTCGAGCTTTGCTTGCTTCCTTCCTTCCTTCCTTCCTTCCTTCCTTCCTTCCTTCCTTCCTTCCTTCCTTCCTTCCTTCCCCCCTTTCTCTCTCTCTCTTTCCCTCCCTCCCTCCCTCTCTTCCTTCCTTCCTTCTTTAAAAAAACGGAGTTTTGGTCTTGTTGCCCAGGCTGGAGTGCAATGGCGCGATCTCGGCTCACCACAACCTCTGCCTGCTGGGTTCAAGAGATTCTCCTGCCTCAGCCTCCCAAGTAGCTGGGATTACAGGCATGTGCCACCAAGCCCAGCTAATTTAGTATTTTTAGTAGAGATGAGGTTTCTCCATGTTGATCAGGCTGTTCTAGAACTCCTGACCTCAGGTGATTTCCCTGCTTCAGCCTCCCAAAGTGCTGGGATTACAGGCGTGAGCCACCACGTCCGGCCACTTTGCTTTCAGTGTGTACCAACATTTGACAGTTATGTGTCCTGGGTTAGGCGTGTTTGTCCATTACATCAACTAGTTTAAACCGACCTTAGCCTCACACTCACAGTCTAAATAAAGACCAAAAATTGTAATTCTAATAGTGTAAGGACAGGTGAGAAGTAAGAAGATGACAGAGTTGATATTCCTATTCCAAGTTGAAGTTCATTATCAATCATAATACGAGGGAAAAAGATCAGTCTGAGAGGAAATGGGGGTGAAGGGAGATATGTGAAATATTTACTATTGTTAGCAATGAAACACACCTAAAGTGTTATTTTATATATATAATTGGGACATTTCTTTTTTCCAACATTTAGAGCTGCCAAACCAATTATCAATATTAAGTAAATCTAGAATCAAAATTTTAAATCACTGTATCATAAAACATTAAATTAATTTAAAAATCAGGTATATTCAATGATGGTGGTTTTATTATTTGCAGTAAGAACAAATTTGTTCCTGTACTGTTAATACAATTGAGACTTATTTGAAGACATTCAATATTCTATCTTCATTTCTCAAGTGCATTTGACCCTAAGAGCCATTTTTAACATTTATAAACTATTAATTAATTAATTAATTTAAAATAGCTACAGCCAGATTCGATGGCTGACATCTGCAATCTCAGCACTTTGGGAGGCTGAGGCTGGCAGATCACTTCAGCCAAGAAGTTCGAGACCAGCCTGGGAAATGTGGTGAAACCCCACATCCAGTAAAAATATAAAAATGAGCCGGGTGTAGTAGCATGCACCTGTAGTCCCAGCTACTCGGGAGGCTGAGGTGGCAGGATTGTTGGAACCTGGGAAGTCAAGGCTGTAGTGAACTGTAATCACACCACTGCACTCCAGCCTGGATGACAGAGCGAGATCCTGTTTAAAAAAATAAATAAAATAAAAATAGATAAATAAAATAAAACAGCTATAATAAATATACCCTAACATGTTAATATACATAACATATTTTTATGAAAGCTTTTAAAAAACAAACAAAAATCAATGAAAACAGTAGCATTGTTTTACGTTTCTGCAAATCACTTTAATGTCTGGCTTAAAAGTAGATAGTTGAATACTCCCAACTGCTATTGCAGTCTTGTGAAATGTTGTTTTGGTTGAAGTAGTTGAAGAAAATCTGGTATTACATGTAGTTTAAAAAGCAGGAGTTTCTGGCCGGGCGTGGTGGCTTGCTTGTAATCCCAGCACTTTGGGAGGCCGAGGAAGGGAGATCGAGGCCATCCTGGCTAACATGGTGAAACCCCGTCTCTACTAAAAATACAAAAAAATTAGCCGGGCGTGGTGGCTGGCACCTGTAATCCCAACTACTCAGGAGGCTGAGGCAGGAGAATGGCCGGAACCCAGGAGGCGGAGCTTGCAGTGAGCCGAGATCATGCCACTGCACTCCAGCCTGGGCGACAGAGCGAGACTCCGTTTCAAAAAAAAAAAAAAAAAAAAAAAAAAAAGCAGGAGTTTCTAAACAACATTTTCAGAAAATTGTGGGTATTCTGTAGTACTATACCAAAATTTAGCATCTGGTAGTTTCTTAAGGGTTACTTGAAATATAGAATCCAAAATCATATCAATGAACTTTTCATACTTAATTACAAGAAAATCTATTAATCCATCTTGTACTTTAAATGGATATTTTACCTGTTTATTTTCAAGGAACATATATGAACATTTATCAAAACACAGTTTAGGAAAACTGCCTTTCTGATTATGTATATCTTGTCTTAATGTTGTTCTGCTGCCTGTGTCATGAATATTAAGTTCAAGTTGGCTGATAGAAACCCCCACTGTCTGGTCTATGTCCAGAGACAACGTGTGCTTAATACGTGAGTTCTGATTCTCATCATGGCATCTCTCCTTACTATAGTGCCTCACAGAAATCAAAAAGATACCCAGACAACTTATTCAAATAATAGCACAGTGGTTTCATAAAGGAAGTGAGAGGGGATTTTAATCCCACTGGACTCAAATTCTCAGGCTGTTAAAATCAACAAACTCTAACGTCCCTTGACCTCTCTTTTATGGAACATGAATAAGGTATGAACGTTGCTGGGCACAAATTTAGCAACAGACTCCGGGGAGAGTTTGTAAAACGTTGAACACCACTGCTAACTCTCTCAGAAGAGTAAGTTTCATTTCTGTCTCTGGTACTTAAGGTTAAAGTCGGCCCAGCGAAATACCTGCTCTCTTTTCCTCATGGGAAAGTCACGTGTCCTTCCAATTCCTGTAGAAAGTTTTCTAAACAATTGTCAACATTATCTAGCAAAACTTCTCACCCTTCCTGCAAATAACAAATGACATGAAGAAACTTTCAACATCCTTATTTGAAATGTCATTTGCATCTCTCCTGGTTCTTTTTAATCTTCTTTATGCTTTTCAATAATACCATTTCTATATTCCCCTGGAAATTTACAACCGAAAGCATTTCCATGTTAGTGTTTCAGGAAAAAAAATGTAAAATATGAAATGAAAAGTAAAATATAATGGAAGATCCTCTTTAAATTGATTTTTTAAAACTTAATAGCCATGCATAAATAGAACTATTTCCAGGAATAACAATTCTTAAGCATTTCTTCTTCTTCTTCTTCTTTTTTTTAAATAAAACAGCATAAAGATGGTTTCATAAATCACTGAGATATGTAAATAAAGGAAGCTACAGAATTTCATAGATAAAAAAATCATTTTTTTCTACTTGTAAGAACAAATATATCATATCTGAAATGTAAATAATTATAAAGTCACAAATAATTTATTCTTCAGTGACAAACTTTTGAACAATTTCCAATTGCCAACGTTATAAATAATATACAATTTAAGACTCTGTTCTTTAAGTTACAGGGATGATGAAAGATATTTTTCTTCTGAAAGGCTGTCATAACTAGTTTATAAATTTGCTCAAGTTAAAAGCCAGATTTTTCATAATTAGATGATTAATCAGTCTATTTCTTTAGTTTATGGGTCAGATAGGGGTCTGAGTTAAAGATTACCTAGGATCTTGGAGAAAGAAAAAATATCCTTCCATCTCCTTTTTCCGCCCAGGAAAGACAGAGATTTCTCCCTGGTTCCCTAACAAAAGGGCCATTTGGAGATCTGGCCTGGAAAAGGATAGAGCGCCTTACTTTTCCACAGAGAGCTTTCCACAAGCTTTCTGAAACTCACAGCTGATTCTGAAACTCTCCTGCTCAAAATTCTTCTATAGCCAAACATATCCCCTACTAGTTGACACCTTGAAATAACCAGCTTTACAATCATTGTACAATTTCTCTCCATCTCTCCTCAACTTTACTCTTCTTATGAATAAACTACATTTCTGAAGCAGCATTCATCAACTATTATTCAAATAGTTCTCTAGATCTGGAATTTCCATCTTCTTTAATATTATACTCTCCTCATCTGCACTTTTAAATTCCATTGTAAATCTCACTTCCTCCAAAATACCTTCCCTGATGATCTCAGAAAGAATTAAACTTTGCCTTCCTTAAACTCTCACAGCACCCGTTTTGAACTTTAGCACATCTTGAATTTTTCCCATGATTCTAGCCTGATTTTTTTTTTTAATCTTAACTTACTACAGATTCTTTCCCCGGGCCAGGGCATTTGTCCCCAGTGTTTTAGTTATTACTAAAGTGAAACTGATTTCAAAATGTAATCTTCAGCTCCAACAGCTAAAATGAGCATCCCACTAAAATGAGCTATTTTGCCTGCATTTCCTGTGTTAGTTAAATTTATCATCATCTTCTCAGCCACTCATTTCCTTACCCAGACACAACTTTCTTTTGGACTCTCATGTGGCATTTTATTCATCACAGAGATGAATAAATTACATCAGAGTGTAACAAATTTTATATATCTGAGATTCTCTGCTCAATCATTAGCTTCTTGAGGACCACTAGTCTTTGTACAAATAATGTCCAGTATAGCACTGGGTATATGAAAACTGACTGGATCGACATTGAATAGAATAATACTATACTGATGTTTCGTAATTTTTCTTTTTTTTTTTTAGACAGAGTCTCGCTCTTTCACCCAGGCTGGAGTGCAGTGGCGCGATCTCGGCTCACTGCAACCTCCACATCCCGGGTTCAAGCGATTCTCCTGCCTCAGCCTCCTGAGTAGCTGGGATTGCAGGCATGTGCCACCATGCCCAGCTAATTTTTTGTATTTTTAATAGAGTTGGGGTTTCACCATGTTAGCCAGGATGGGTTTGATATCCTGACCTTGTGATCCACCCACCTCAGCCCCCAAAGTGCTGGGATTATAGGCATGAGCCACCGTGCCTGGCCAGTAATTTTTTTGTAAACTTTTATTGGAGCTTCTTCAACACAAGTTTTCCCAATTGGATTGTCAGTTCTTGGATGGCAAAGACCATGTCTCATTTTTCTTTATATTTCTCAGTATAGTAAAGCATTTTGTCCATAGTAGGGTCTCAATTTAATTGGTTTAATGCCTTAATATAATAGTAGGGCTAAGTACTCCTGTTTTAATGCTTTCAGAATATTGGATTGTCCAAGATTTAAACAGATATATAGGTATACTCAACGTAGGTAGTACAGGAAAGATAAAGGAGATAAGTGAGGTACCTAGATTTACACCCAACTAACCTATGCAGGAAACAAAGAAATTCTCATTCCATCTGGCACAGTCAATATAGTCCCCTTTTGAGTGTTCAATGCATCTAACACATGTGATAAGCCAAGTCAAAGAAATAGGCCACAATCCCCTCCCTCAATAAATGTGCCTTCACAGACCTCAGTGCTTCTATTTCTCCATCAGGTATATAAAGCAAAACAATTCAATTTTATGATACACAGGGGATTTTGAGGTGGTTTCCCTCCATTTGATATAGGCTTAAAGGGAAACCAATGGGCTGAGCGCTGTGGCTCAGGCCTATAATCCCAGCACTTTGGGAGGCCAAGGTGCGAGGATCACCTGAGGTTGGAAGTTCCAGACCAGCCTGACCAACATGGGGAAATCCCATCTCTACCAAAAATACAAAATTAGGCAGGTATGATGGCACATGCCTATAATCCCAGCTACTCAGGAGGCTGAGGCAGGAGAATCATTTGAACCCAGGAGGCGGAGGTTGTGGTGAGACAAGATCGGGCCATTGCACTCCAGCCTGGGCAACAAGAGCGAAACTCCATCTCAAAAAAAAAAAAAAAAAAAAAGGGAAACCAATGATGCTACACTCAAAGAACATTTTATATATATATATGTGTATATATATGTGTGTGTGTGTGTATATATGTGTGTATATATATGTGTGTGTGTGTGTATATATATATATATATTTTTTTTTTTTTTTGACAGGGTCTGGCTCTGTAACTCAGGCTGGATGGAGTCCAGTGGCAGGATCTTGGCACACTGCAACCTCCGCCTCCCCAATTCAGGCTATTCTCATGCCTCAGTCTCCAAGTAGCTGGGATTACAGGCATGCACCACCACACCCCGCCTATTTTTGTACCTTTTTAGTAGAGACAGGATTTCACTGTATTGGCCAGGCTGGTCTCGAACTCCTGGGCTCAAGTTATCCCCCTGCCTTCGCCTACCCAACGTAGTGGAACTACAGGCATGAGCTACCACACCTGGCCTAAAGAACATAACTTTTAATGAGTTGGGGTTGTTTATTAAACAATCTGAAAATCTGGATAAAATTGAAACTTTCCTAAAAAAAAGTGAATTAGCAAGATTTATTCAAGGAGAATGAAATATGAATAGACGGGCAACACAGAAACATTGAAAAGGTTGTTAAAGATTTACAACTAGAAGCATGTTAAGTACTGAGAGATTTATAGGCTATTCTATATATAAATTAATTGTAAAAAATTATAATTCCTATGTTATTCAAACTATTCCAGAACACAGGATACCTAATCTTCCACCAGGCCTAGTGATAGTAGGGCTGTAAGAGAGAAAACAGATGTCTCTTGCAAGGACCTTGGGAAAATGATGGCTTCAGGACAAGGTTAGGTTCCAGAGTGAGAAGGCAAAAATTTCACAGAAGATGATGTGGAGTTCCAGAGGGCATGGTGCAAGAGTGAAAGGAGATGAGGAACAGTAAGAGATGAGGTCAGAAAATGTGTTTTACCAAACTCTTTGGAGATTAGCGTCTGGGGAATAAAGAATGAGCTGGAGGTCTTAAATGTCTCGTGACTGGGACAAAAACAGTGGTTGAGAACATGATGGGATTTTTCCACATGGTTGTTAGGAAAGTTGCTATATTTGAGACTGTGAATGTCAGCAAAGCTGAGGAACAGGAGGTCTTCCATGGAGTACACAGTGCCCTAGAGCATCGTCCTTTGAAACCCGTTTCCTTTTATATCCGTCCATAGAGGCCTTAAGGCCAGTTCTGCAGTGTCTTACTCAGGGCATACGTGAACCCTCTTGAATATTGCCAATGCCCTTGTTATTCTAGATTGTTCTAGAGATCCTATCCAGTGTACTCAGCTGGAAAAAATGGAAACGAAGCGTGGGACAATATCATTTATTTGCAGGTGATATGACTGTTTATTAAGAAAATCAGGGTATCGGGCCGGGCACGGTGGCTCACACCTGTAATCTCAGCACTTTGGGAGGCTGAGTTGGGTGGATCACAAGGTCAGGAGTTCAAGACCGGCCTGACCAACATGGTGAAATCCCGTCTCGGACAGGGCGCGGTGGCTCACGCCTATAATCTCAGGACTTTGGGAGGCCGAGGCGGGCAGATCACGAGATCAGGAGATAGACACCATCCTGGCTAACACCGTGAAACTCTATCTCTACTAAAACTACAAAAAATTAGCCAGGCGTGGTGGCGGGCACCTGTAGTACCAGCTACTTGGGAGGCTGAGGCAGGAGAATTGCTTGAACCCAGGAGGTGGAGCTTGCTGTGAGCCGAGATAGCGCCACTGTACTCCAGCCTGGGCGACAGAGCAAGACTCCGTCTCAAAAAAAAAAAAAAAAAAAAAAAAAAAAATCCCGTTTCTACGAAAAATACAAAAATTAGCCGGGCGTGGTGGCACGCGCCTGTAATCCCAGCTACTCAGGAGGCTGAGGCAGGAGAATTGCTTGAACCCAGGAGGTGGAGGTTGCAGTGAGCCAAGATTGTGCCACTGCACTCCAGCCTGGGTGACAGAGCAAGACTCTGTCTCAAAAAAAAAAAAAAAAAAAAAAAAAAAATCAGTGTATCTTATAAATAACTATCAAACTTAGTGACAGTTCAATTAAGGTATGCTCATATAAGAAATATAAACAAAAAGCAATAGCTCTCCTTATAAAAGCAAAAAGCAGAACAAGGGAAGAAATATCCTATTCACAATATCAATAAATTGAGCACTGACAATAAAAATATATAAAACCTGTATCAAGAAAACTTCAAAGTGTCTAAAAATACAAGCAGATTTTTAGCAAGTGAAAAATTATACCATATTTATGAATGAGAAGCCTATATATTTTTAAAGATATGTTCTTTATGAATTATTAGTCTGTTTCCATCCCAATAAAAATACAATTTTGTTGAGCTTTATTCATTAACTCTAATAAGAACATAAAATTAGCAAAAAAGTTAGAAGTTAAATAATTGCCCAACCAGATATAAATGTATTCCATATGAGTAAGTTAAAACATTCAAGTATTAATTAATAGTATGCAATATATAAAAGTATAAAACTAGAGAATAGAATCATCTGTATTTCAAGTCTCATTCTTACAAACATGTGTGTATTTGTACTCATGTACATGTGTGAATGTGTACGTATATGTTTCTCTTTATTTAGGGTGGAAGGATACACACCAGATTGTTAAGAGTGGTGATTTTGGACCGGGCGCGGTGGCTCACGCCTGTAATCACAACACTTTGGGAGGCTGAGGCGGGCGGATCACAAGTTCAGGAGATTGAGAGCATCCTGGCTAACATGGTGAAACCCCGTCTCTACTAAAAATACAAAAAATTAGCCGGGCATGGTGGCGGGTGCCTGTAGTCCCAGCTACTCCGCAGGCTGAGGCAGGAGAATGGCGGGAACGCGGGAGCCGGAGCTTGAGGTGAGTCAAAATCGCCGCCACGGCACTGCGGCCTGGGCGACAGAGGGAGACTCTACCTCAAAAAAAAAAAAAAAAAAAAAGAGTGGTGATTTTGGCTGGGCACAGTGGCTCACTCCTATAATCCCAACACTTTGGGAGGCTGCAGCGGGCAGATTACTTGAGCCCAGGAGTAGGAGACTGGCCTGGGCAACATGACAAAACCCTGTCTTTACAAAACGTACAAAAATTAGTCAGGTGTGGTGGCGTGCGCCTGTAGTCCCAGCTACTTGGGAGACTGAGGTGGGAGGATGAATTTTGCTCAGGAGGTCAAGGCTACAATGAGCCATCATAGTGCCACTGCACTCCAGCCTGGGTAGCAGAATGAGACTCTGTTTCAAAGAAGAAGGTGTGGTAATTTTGTCCGGGAATGAATATGTGGGACTTTTACTTTTTACTTTATGCATTGCTAAATCATTTACTATGAATACTTTCTTGATTTTTTTCTATTAAGATTAGTTTTATAACTTAAAAATGGAGACATTTATGAAAAAGTTAATAATAAACAATAGTATGGAGTATGTTCTAAATGTCTTCTCTTTAGATGGATGCTACTGAATCACAGAGTGGGAGCAACCTGCCACTGAACAGGTTGAGAAAGGCTTAACAGAGGGGACAGTGGAGTTGCTTCTTGAAATAGGACTAGTTATTCCTGAGGCGGAGAAAGGAAGGGAATAGCATTTCAGGTGAAGAGAATTGTATGTATCTAAGCTAAGGAGTGCATCAAAGAACAGGTTTAAAATATGAGTAATGTTAAAGGTGAAGAACAAATGACTTTAGGAAGAAGAGTGTACATGAGCCAATGACCCATTGAATGTTCTTGACAAAGATAAAGTTAATGATGCAATTCAGTTTTCCAGGTTACATATCAACACCAATCACAAAGTTAGGAAATGCAAGATGTGGAGTGGATTTGGATGGAGAAATTCAAACATTCAGTTATTTATTTTTAATTGACACATAATAATTGTATATATTCATGGAGTACAGTGTGATATTTTGGTACATATATACAATGTGTAATGATCAACTCAGGGTAATTTAATTAGCATATCTATTACCCAAAACATTGATCACTTCTTCATTCAAAATCTTCTCTTCTGGCTATCTGAAAATACACAAGGAATTGTTAACTACTGTCACCCTCCAGTTCCACAGAACACTAGAACTTATTTCTCCTTTCTAGATGTAATTTTGTGTTATATATTCAGTTTTTGGCATGTTTGGTTTGAGATATATGTAGAACATCCAGAGTCCAGAAACTCTTGGATATAGAAGTTCAGTATCCAGGAATGAGATAGAGTCCTCTAAGAGTTTATAGCCTACTGAAAGGCAGAACTAGGGGTTTGAGAGAGAAAATGGGTTAATAGCAGAGAGCCTCTTATTCAAACCAGTCTACCTTGGTCTTTTCTGAATTTCACTCTTCGGTGTGCACCCTTCAACAGCTTCCTCCTCAAAACCCAATTTAGTTTCACATTGTTAGTAGGTTGAGCTCCTGGATTTACCCATCCTAAAGCCATCCTCCTTATGAATAACCCAGCTACAATAAGCAAACTCTGTTCATTCTCTGGAAGAACATGGTTTAACATGGATTGAACAGCTACTCTAAGCAGGTACTAGGCTAGGCTACCTACAAACAGGATTCCATTTAATCCTCAAAACCTGTTGTGAAGTAGATATGATTATTCTTCATCTGTAGATAATATACCAAAGCTCAAAGATACCAGGGAATGCTGAAGATAACACAGCTAGTGATAAATGGCAGAACCTCTTTCTATTCAAACTTTATCTAATTCCAAAATTTAAGTCTTTATTGGCTAACTTCCATCCTATTTTCCTTGTATTCATCATGATTTTACAAGTTTACTTTAAAAATGTCAAAAATAATCAAGAAACAAAACAAGAAGGATGGTGAGAGGCTTCCACTCTCCAATCCCAATGTCAACCTAAAGAGAAGGAGACTTCACAGGAGACTTCTAGGGAAATCCCTCGACAAAATCATGACAATTCTCAGAGAGTGTCTTTCTTAGAACTATATCTGATATAAATAATCATTTCCTAGATTTTATATGTGGATTTTAGTATTGATAGATTTCAGAGCAGAAATCAAAGATGATAGATAAATACCTCTCTGTTATCTCTGAGGAAACAAGGATTTGGTGTGGTAACCTTAAGCCACTAAAAGTATTTTATTTCTTTGTTTGTTTTGTTATTTATTTATATATAAAGTAGAGACAGCATCTCACTATGTTGACTAGGCTGGTCTAACTCCTGATCTCAAGCTATTTTCCTGTCTCAGCTTCCCAAAGTGCTGAGATTACAGGTGTGAGTCACCATACCCTGTCCTAAAGATATTTTTAAGCACTAATATTGTAAACAGTGCTATTCAAGACACTGAGAAAGGAAAGGACATTTTGTCCTCAACAAACTATACATCACTGGAGGAATAGGAGAAAAAATTGTACAAGATAATGATTGGCTTTTGTTAAAAGTGTCATTATAAAAGCAAAGCAAAAAACCAAAACTTTCTGAGCTTTTCCTCCTATACAGTGGAAATACTGTAAATATAATGGCATAATAGATGTAAAAACTCATTATATGCATGGCTGCCCACATCCTCTAATACTTGTTTATCTCCCAGCTACCCTCCCCCAATACCATTCTATAAAAAACAATTTTGAGGCTGGGCGCGGTGGCTCATGCCTATAATCCCAGCACTTTGGGAGGCCGAGGTGGGTGGATCACCTGAGGCCAGGAGCTCAAGACCAGCCTGGCCAACATGGTGAAACCCCATCTCTACTAAAAATACAAAAATTAGCCAGGCATGGTGACATCCCAGCTACTCGGGAGGCTGAGGAAGGATAATCATCTGAGCCCAGGAGGTAGAGGTTGCAGTGAGCCAAGATAGCACCATTGGATTCCAGCCTGGGCAACAAGAGTGAAACTCTGTCCCCGCCCCCCCCTCCACCCCCCAAATAATTTTGGATATATCTTAGGATTTATATCTTACATACTTTCTATGTGCTTCAGTGACATTATATCTTCTTCAGCAATTATAACTTGTTTGTCCAAATTGTCCTACCAAAGATGAGCACAAGTCTGGTTGAAGGGTACACAGAAGGTATTTAATAAATATAGTACATAATTTATGATCTCTATCAGAGCAAAGATTGGTCTCTCCAAAAGAAGAAATACTTTTTTTTTTTTTTTTTTTTTTTGAGACAGAGTCTTGCTCTGTCACCCAGGCTGGAGTGCAGAGGCACAGTCATGGCTTACTTGACCTCCTATGCTCACGTGATCCTCCTGCCTCAGCCTCCCATGTAGCTGGGGCTACAGGCATGTGCCACTATGCCCAGCTAGGAAATGCTCTCTTAATAAAAGCAAACCAAACAAAAATTTTAGCTCGAGGTCAAAACACGCTGTTGTTGTAGAAACCCTGAGTTTTATTGGTTAACTTTATACTTCTGTGTTCCTCTGTTGTATTATAATAAGAAACGAATGCATCTTCCTGCCCTTAAGTTTGGTTTTTAACCACTGATGCAGCGTCATGCTGAACTATTCAGATTTTAGCTTGAGAATGTGCGTGCACAGTGCTGATTACTCTGCCCACAATGTTACTTTCTGGATATCCAGGATACATATCCAAAGCTTCAGCAATCTAGAAAATGACTTGCTTGGGCATTCTCTTATAATTATTACAGAAAAACTGTGGCAAGACTATGCCATTGACTACTAAATAAGATAGATCTAATTAGAAAATAAAATTCAAGCTTTCAGCCAAACACACCTCTCAAGTTAAAACTTGGCCAAATGTAAATGTAGTAAAACATGATTTGCATTTAGCTAAAAGTGGCGGCCAAAAGAAGAAAAGAAAATGCACTAGTCAGCTAATATAGACTCCCTTTTTCAAAAAATTAAAAGATCTGCTAATAAGTTATTCAATGCCGTAAGCTCTCTACTGTATTTTTTGTCAGACTTATGCCCTAGTGAAACCAATATCTAATTTTTAAAAGAAAGCTCAATATCTTTTTTTTTTTTTTTAACCCAGGAACTCTTGATTGTAAAGCTCTATTATTTGGTAAAGGGTAGTCTCTAGAAGGCAAAGAGTTAAAGACATCACTTTAAATGACAAAAGCTGAACACTTCACCCCACTTTCAGTCTCCCATCTATTCATCCTTTCATAGTACACAATTTCAGCTTTCTAAGCTCTTCAACTACCTGCCCCTAATTTGTATTCCTAGGAAGAGGCCTGGCTGGTTATTTTGCATTTGTGTGCTAATATTGTTGAGCTTCCTTCTCTGGGGGAAGTGAGAGGAGGAAACTCCTCCATGGCTGGAATGGGGGTGGGTATGAAGGTACAAGGTTCTCTGGGAGAGTCATGCTGACTTTTAACCTTGAATGCCTCTTGCAGAGCATCCAACAAAGCACTGCTGATTTTGAGAAATAGGGGACCCTGTGAAAACTCCTGTGTATATACACATTTGAGCCAAATAGGTTAGTCAAAAGTAAAATTTGGATTTAGGAAAATTATTTAATTATTATAAGAATCACTAATGAACAATAACATACAAGACCTTCAAAGTATGCGTATGAATGCCTCAGGAGAGCTCTTACAAGTCATGAAAGGGATAGAATTACTACTTTTGAGGGCTGGGGAAAGGAAAGAAGAAAAATGTTAAACATTTTACCAAAATAAAGGAAGTGTTTTTTTTCCCTCTCCCTCCTCCTCCTCCCGCTCCTCCCCCTCCCCGCCCCCTTCCTTCTTGTTATTTTGAGTCTCACTTCTCGCCTAGGCTGGAGTGCACTGGCATGATCTCAGCTCACTGCAACCTCCACCTCATGGATTCAAGTGATTCTTCTGCCTCAGCCTCCCAAGCAGCTGGGATTACACGCATCCACCGCCAGGCCCGGCTAATTTTTGTATTTTTAGTAGAGACAGGTGTTTCACCATGTTGGCCAGGCTGGTCTCAAACTCCTGACCTCAGGTCATCCACCCGCCTCCGCCTCCCAAAATGCTGGGTTACAGGCGATAGCCACCGCACCCGGTCTTTTCCTTCATTATTAATAGAATACGGGAAACAAAGTGTTAACAGAAAATCATTTCAATTAAAAGATAGTAGACAAATATTAATACCCTGATTTAGTTCTACCCAATGTTTCAATCTGTTTCATAGGGCACAAATCAATCAGACTAAATGAATGCAATACTTCTGATATTCCATTTGTAAAGCAAAATACCAGTGTACTCTCATATTTACAATTAAGTAAACAGCAGTGCAAAGAAGATAGCCCAATTGCGAATAGTTAGTATGTGTAGTCTAGCTTTTAATTAACTAAAAGCAGGGCCAGAATACTTGCTGTGACTCCCTCTACCTAGAGGTGTATTTATTAGCCAGTGAGCTACAGGAAAAATCTCATTTTTCTCCCAGCTTTATCTCCAAATTCAGCCTTCTAATGAAAGTATAGAATATATCTGACTTTACCTGATCAGTAATTGTTAGAAGTTGTGTCACCCTTTTTGAAAATGAGTAGGCCAGGCCCAGTGGCTCACGTCTGTAATCCCAGCACTTTGGGACGCCGAGGCAGGTGATCACTTGAGGTCAGTAGTTCAAGACCAACCTGGCCAACATGGTGAAACCTTGCCTCTACTAAAAAATACAAAAATTAGCCAGGCGTGGTTGGGTGGGGGTGGTGGGGCCTGTAATGCTAGCTATTCGGGAGGCTGAGACACAAGAATTGCTTGAACCCAGGAGGTAGAGGTTGCAGTGGGCTGAGATCGCACCACTGCACTCCAGCTTGGGCAACAGAATGAGACTCCATCTCAAACAAACAAAAAAAGAAAATTAGTAAATGCTGTCATTCAACATGAAAAATATTAAGATACAATCCTAGTCACATTTTCTGAAGGAGAATAAAAATGAAACTTAGGGAAAAAAGCATTAATTCAGCATATAGAAAACTAGTAAACAGGGCCAGGCACAGTGGCTCACACCTGTACTCCCAGCATTTTGGGAGGCCAAGGCAGGCAGATCACGAGGTCAGGAGTTCAAGACCAGCCTGGCCAACATGGTGAAACCCTGTCTCTACTAAAAATACAAAAAAAATTTAGCTGGGCGTGGTGGTGTACACCTGTAATCCCAGCTACTCAGGAGGCTGAGGCAGGAGAATTGCTCAAACTCGGGAGGCAGAGGTTGCAGTGAGCCGAGATTGCACCACTGCACTCCAGCCTGGGCAACAGAGCAAGACTCCATCATGAAAGAAAAAATAAAATAAAATAATAATAATAATAATAAAAGAAAACTGGCAAACAGAGTTTTGAAGTAAAAGCAGAGATCATTGTTTGAACTTTGTATCCATCTACTTGGTACAAACCCCTCAAGGAAATATTGACTGTGACTTGGCATGTCCTTGAACTCTGTCTCAATTCTTTTATTTCTAAAATTAGGCTAATTCTAAGAGACAGAATAACAAAAATACACACAAAAAAATTAACTAAGAAAGTATCAAAAAGGGGATTATTGTCTTGCTACTAACAGTACAAAACACATATTATTTGATTTATTCCCAATTCTCTGCACTTTCACTAACTTGACATAGTATTGTCTGTCCTCCCCAACTGTGCTTATTTTCATCCTGAGAACACACTTGATTGTCTCATTTTCCAATACAATGAACTGTACATAACAAATACCGGGATTCACAATAAATGGAGACAAATAACGCTCAGGTCTGAAGTCTCCTGTTAACCTGATAAACATCATTTTCAAAAACAGCCAGAAAGTTGGTTGGGCACATTGCCTCACACCTGTAATCCCAGTGCTTTAGGGGGCTAAGGTTGGAGGATCACTTGAGGCTAGGAGTTCAAGACCAGCCTCAGCAACATAAAGAGACATCATCTCTACCAAAAAACCATAAAAAATTAGCCTGCTACTTGGGATGCTGAGGTGAGCGGATCCTTTGAACCCAGGAGTTCAAGACTACAGTGAGCTGTGATCACACCAGCTTGGGCAACAGAATGAAGCCCTGTCTAATAAAATAGACTGTCTTAGAGATGGTTGTACATAATTTCAAGGGCCTTGTTAAAGCAAAAGTTATTCAATTATACTTATCAAAGCACAAATGTTGGTAAGTATAAGGCAGACTTTATTCATGATCAATTAGATAGTCCTGTGCATAGGGACCACAAGAGTGGGAGATAGAAATTGGGCTCAACTCCAAATACAGCATGTGCAAGCAGGAATTGAAACAAAGGAACAGACTGAGAGTCAGTGGGTAGAAAATTACTAAGAGCTACTATTAAGAGTCAGGGGGATTTTGGCTAAACCAACCTAACAGAATTCTTGCTTAAGATAGGCCAGGATGATCAGACATCATGGGGGAGCGGGGATGGTGGAGGATGAGGAACCTGATCAGCTATCAAGGGTGATCAGAAATGAACGACTTGGGTTCTGAACATAATTCTATCACATAGAATTAGTTTATAGTGTTGCAAGTACTTGCTTACATATGTGGTACATATGTGGTATAATAAAAATATCTAGACTGGGTACAGTGGCTCACACCTGTTATCCAGCACTTTGGGAGGCCAAGGCAGGAGGATTGCTTGAGGCCAGGGGTTAGAGACCAGTCTGGGCAACATAGGGAGACTCCATCTCTACCAAAATTTAAAAATTAGTTGGGCATGGTGGTGTGTGCCTGTGGTCCCAGCTACTTGGGGTGAGGTCAGAGGATCACTTGAGCCTGGGACGTTAAGGCTGCAGTGAGCCATGATCCCAGACCTTGTCAGAAAAGAAGAGAAAAGAGATTGGGCACGGTGGCTCATGCCTGTAATCCTAGCACTTTGGGAGGCCGAGGCAAGTGGATCACGAGGTCAGGAGATCGAGACCATCCTGACTGACACGGTGAAACCCCGTCTCTACTAAAAATACAAAAAATTAGCCAGGAGCAGTGGTGGGCGCCTGTGGTCCCAGCTACTCTGGAGGCTGAGGCAGGAGAATGGTGTGAACCTGGGAGGTGGAGGTTGCAGTGAGCTGAGATCATGCCACTGCACTCCAGCCTGGGCAACAGAGTGAGGCTCCATCTCAAAAAAAAAAAAAAAAAAAAAGAAAAGAAAAGAAAAAAAAAGAAAAGAAGAGAAAAGAAAAGAGAAAGAAAGTGAAGGAAGGGACAGAAGGAAGAAAGGACAGGAAGTGAAGGAAGGAAAGAAGGGAAAGAAAAGAAAGAAAGAGAGAGAAAAGAAAAAAAGAGGAAAAAAGTAAAAATATTTGTTTTTTGTTGTGGTTTCATGTGGCACAGGTGTAGAGATTTTAAATACAAACTCTTAGAGTCTTCTCAGTAAGAGGAGTGTCATTTGTTATTTATAAGAAGGCCCAATAACCATACCTGAATTTATGCTAATGCAGTCACTCTTAGTGAGCCTTCTGATGGTTTCTTTTTTTTTTTTTTTCTTTTGAGACGGAGTCTTGCTCTGTCGCCCAGGCTAGAGTGCAGTGGACTGATCTCGGCTCACTGCAACCTTTGCCTCCCGGGTCCAAGCAATTCTCCTGCCTCAGCCTCCTGAGTAGCTGCGATTACAGGCACACACCACCATGCCCAGCTAATTTTTGTATTTTTTAGTAGAGACGGGGTTTCACCATGTTGGTCAGGCTGGTCTCGAACCCCTAACCTCATGATCCACCTGCCTCGGCCTCCCAAAGTGCTGGGATTACAGGCATGAGCCACCGCGCCCGGCCTGCACCCTGCTAATTTTTGTATTTTTAGTAGAGGCGGGGTTTCACCATGTTGGTCAGGCTGGTCTTGAACTCCTGACCTGAGGTGATCCACCCACCTGGGCCTCCCAGATTGCTGGGATTACAGGCGTGAGCCATCAGGCCCGGCCGCCTTCTGATAGTTTCAAGAGAGAGTCTGGCTACACCAGAAATGTGTATAAAAAGGTTGGGACATTCCAAATGGAACCTCCAGGAAAGGGAGACAGACTGGAGACTGAGTTCAATCATGTAGCCAGTGATTTAATCAGTCATGCCTAGAAATGAAACCTCAAAAAAGCTCTGGGCATATAAGCTCAGTAGAGCATACTGGTTGTTGAGCACATCAAATGTTGAGAGGGTGACATTCATCTTTTTGTTGTTGAGTTGTGGGAGTCTGCATATTCTGGATATTATAACTTTATCAGGTATGTGATTTGCAAATATTTTCTCCCAAGCCATGGGCTGTGTTTTTCACTCTGTTGTTTTCTGTGGATTTGGCATCATGTTTAAGAAGCCATTGCCAAATCCAAGACCATGCATATTTGCCCTTATGCTTTCTTCTAAGAGTTCATAGTTTTAGCTCTTCGATTTAAGTCTTTGATCAGTTTTGAGTTAATTTTTGTGCGTGGTATAAGGTAGAGGTCCAACCACCTTTATTTTTCCTAGGACTATCCAGTGTTTCTAGCACTCTTTGTTAAAGAGACAATTCTTTTCCCAATTGTGTGATATTAGCAACATTGTTAAAAATCAATTGATCATTGATATGGGAGTTTATTTCCAGCTTTCAACGCTATTCTGTTGGTGTATATGTTTATCTTTATGCCAGTATCACACTATTTTGATTACTGTAGTTTTAGTTTTGCAGCAAATTATGAAAACAGGAATTGTGAGGCCTCCAATGTTGGTCATCTGTTTAATATTGTTTTGGTTATTTTGGGTCCCTTGAAGTTTCATACAAATTTTAAGATGAATTTTTCAATTTCTGAAAATATGCTTTTGGGATTTGATACATATTATATTGAATCTGTATATCTTTTTTTTTTTTTTTTTTTGAGATGAAGTCTCGCTCTGTCACCAAGCGTGGAGTACAGTGGCGCGATCTTGGCTCACTGCAACCTCTGCCTCCTGGGTTCCAGCAATTCTCCTGCCTCAGCCTCCCTAGTAGCTGGAATTAACAGGCATGCGCTACCATGCCTGGCTAAATTTTGTACTTTTAGTACAGATGGGGTTTTGCCATGTTGGCCAGGCTGGTCTTGAACTCCTGGCCTTAAGTGATCCACCTGCCTCAGCCTCACAAAGTGCTGGAATTACAGGCGTGAGCCACCGCGCCAGGCTGAATTTGTATATCTTTTTGGATAATATTGTCATGCTAATATAATACTAAGTCTTCTAATTCATAAATATGGGATGTCTTTCCAATTTTCTAGGTCTTATTTAATATCTATAAGCAATGTTTTATAGCGTTCATATGCTGGTTGTTATCCTTCTTGGTTAAATTTATTCTTGAATATTTATTCTATTGTACATATATTTTTATTTTATTTCATTATAATGATCGTTATTATTTTTGAGACAGAGTCTCATTTATGTTGCCCAGGCTGGTCTTGAATTCCTGGGCTCAAGCCATCCTCTTGCCTCAGCTTCCCAATGTGCTGGGATTATAGGCATGAGCCATGGTGCCTGGTTGTATGTGGATTTAAAAAAAAAAAATTCCTTTTTGGATTGTTCACCAATGGTATACGAACTGATTTTTGCATGTTGATTTTGTATCTTACGACTTTGCTAAAGATGTTTATTAGCTTTAACATTTTTTTCTTGTACATTCTTTAGGACTTTCTACATATAAGATTAAGCTATCTATGAATAGAATTAGTTTTAACTACTTTTTTTCCAATTTGAATGCCTTTTATTTCTTTTTCTTGCCTAATTACTCTGAGTAGAATTTCAAGTATTATATTGAATAGATGTAGTGAAAGTGGACATCCTGTATTGTTCCTGATATTATGAGAAAAACTTTCAGTTTTTCAACATTGAATATGATGTTAGCTGTGGGTTTTTCACATCTGACTTTCACCATTTTAAGGAAGTTCCTTCTGGTCATAGTTTATTCTGCGTTTTTGCCATACAAAGTTGTTGAATTTTGTCAAGTACTTTTTTCTGCATCAATTGAAATGATGTGTTTTTGTTTTTCTTCATTATATTGATATAGTATATTACATTGATTTTAGTGTGTTAAATAACCATGTATTCTGGGATAAATCCCACTTGATAATGGTGTATAGTCCTTTTAATATGCAGCTGAATTAACTTTGCTGTTGTTTCATTAAGTATTTTTGCATCTATCTCCATAAAGGATATCTTTTCTTTTTTTCTTGTAGTGTTTTTGTTGTTGTTTTGGTATCAGGGTAATGCTGGTCTCATAGTATTACAAAGTATTACATAGTATTACAAAGTAATACTGGTCTTTGTAAAAAGGGTAATGCTGGTCTCATAGTATTACAAAGTATTACAAAGTATTGCAAAGTAATACAAAGTATTGCAAAGTAATACAAAGTATTACAAAGTATTACAAAGAGGAATTACAAAGTATCTCCTCTTCAATTATTTGAAAGCGTTTGAGAAGAATTTATGTGGTGTTAATTCCTCGAGTGTTTGGTTGAATTTATTAGTGAAACAGTCTGTGGTCCTGAGCCTTTTTTTTTTTTTTTTTTTTTGGGGGGGGGTGAGATTTTTGATTACTGATTTTGATTACTGATTTGATTTTTTCAGGCCTATTTAGATTGTCTATTTCTTCTCCTTTTTTTTTAGAGAGAGTCTTACTCTGTCACCCAGGCTGGAGGCAGTGGTGTAATTAGAGCTCACTGTAGCCTTGACCTCCCAGTCTCAAGAGATCCTCCTGCCTTAACTTCCTGAGTAACTAGGACCACAGGTGCACACCACCACCCCCAGCTAAATTTTTTTTTTTTTTTTTTGTAAATATGAGGTCTCACTATGTTATCCAGGCTGCTTTTGACCTCCTGGCCTCAAGTGATCCTCCCACCTTCGCCCCTCAAAGTGTTGGGATTACAGGCATAAGTCACCCTGCCTGGTCCTCTATTTCTTCTTGAGACAGTCCCTTTATTTCATGCATTTCTAAGAATTTGTCTGTTTTATTTGGGTTATCTAACTTGTCATGCAACTGCCAATGGTTCACAGTATTTTCTTATGACCCTTTTTACTTTTGTAAGTTAATTGTAATGTCTCCTCTTTTTGTTCTAATTTCAGTAATTTGAATCTACTCATTTTTATTAATCGTCATTCTAGCTAAAGGTTTTTCCATTTTGTTGATCTTTTCAAGGAACAAACTTTTGATTTTATTGATTTTCTATTGTTTTTCTATCTTATTTCATTTATTTCCACTCTAATTTTTGTTATTTCCTTCCTTCTGCTAGCTTTGAGTTTAGTTTGCTCTTATTTTTCTAGTACTTCAAGGTATACAGTTAGGGAATCAATTTGAGATATTTTTATTTTTCATTGTAGTCATATAAATTTCCCTCTGAGTACTGCTTTTGCTGTGTCCTATGAGTTTTGATATGTCGTGTTGTTGTTTTCACTTATCTCAAGATATTTTCTAGCTTCCTTTGTGATTTCTTTGACTCATTGGTTGTTTAGGAATACATTGTTTAATTTCCACATATTTGTGAGATTTCCACTTTATTTCTGTTACTGAATTCAGTTTCATTCCATTGTAGTTAAAAATATATTTCGTTTAACTTCAGTCTTTTAAAATTTACTTAAATTTGTTTTGTGGCCTAACATATGATCTATGTTGGATACTGTTCCATGAGTACTTAAGAAAATGTATATGGTACTTTTTTAGGTGGACTGTTTGGTATGTCTGTAGGCTCTAAAATTATAGTAAACCTATTAGAAATTCTCTGTTTCTTTATTGATCTTCTGTCTGGTTGTTCTATTCATTATTGAAATAGGGTATTTAAACTTCCAACTATTATCGTAAAAGTATCTATTTATATTTTCAATTTTGCCAGTTATTGTTTTACATATATTTGGGCTTAGTAGTTAGGTACATACTTTAATTTTTTTTTTTTACATCTTTTTGATTGATTGTATCTTTTATCAAGACATAATGTCATCCTTTGTCTCTTTTAATCTTTTTTGACTTGAAAACCTATTTTGTCTGGTAATCATATAGCCACTCCATCTCACTTGTCATTACTCTTTGCATGTAGTATCATTTTACATGTTTTTGCTTTCAACCTCTTTGTGTCTTTGTATCTAAAATGAGTCTCTTAGGCCAGGCGTTGGTGGCTCACACCTGTAATCCCAGAACTTTGGGAGGCTGAGGCAGGTGGATCACCTGAAGTCAGGAGTTTGAGACCCTCCTGACCAACATGGTGAAACCCCATCTCTACTAAATACAAAAAATTAGCTAGGCGTGTTGGCACATGCCTGTAATCCCAGCTACTTGGGAGGTTGAGGCAGGAGAATCACTTGAACCTGGGAGGTGGAGATTGCAGTGAGCAGAGATTATGCCATCGCACTCCAACCTGGGCAACAAGAGCAAAACTGTCTCAAAATAAATAAATAAATGAGTCTTTTGAACATAATCATAGGTAGATTTTTAAAATCTATTCTGCTGGCTGGGTGTGGTGGTTTATGCCTGTAATCCCAGCACATTGGAAAGCCAAAGTGGGTGGATCGCTTGAGCCCAGGAGTTTGAGACCAGCCTGGACAACATGGTGAAACTCTGCCTCTACAAAAAATTAAAAAATTAGCCAGGCATGGTGGTGCGTACCTGTAGTCCCAGCTACTTGGGAGACTGAGGTTGGAGGATCATCTGAGACAGGGAGGTTGAGGCTGCAGTGGGCCGTGATCATGCTACTGCACTCCAGTCTGAGTGACAGAGCCAGACCCTGCCACAAAAAAAAAAAATAAATAAAAATAAAATAACATATATTCTGACAATTTCTTCATTTTAATTGGAGAGTTTATTTATGTTTAAACTAGTTGCTGGTAAGGAAGGGCTAACTTCTGACATTTAGTTATTGGTTTTCTATATGTCTATCTGTTTTTTGTTCAATTCCTCCATTACTGGCTTTTTTTCACTTATTTGATATTTTGTAATGTACTATTTTTATTTTCTTCTTTCATTTTCTGTTTATTTTTGTTATTTTCTTAGTGATTACCTTGGGCTTTACAACTACCATCTTAAACTTATAACAAACTAGCTTGAATAAATATTAACTTAGTTTTAATGGTATGGAACATTCTGATCCTATATGTCTCTGCCTCTTCCCCTTTTTATATTGTTATTGTAGCAATATATTAAAATTGTTATTACATCTTAATATATTGTGTGGCCATTAGCATAGATTTATAATTATTGTTTAATGCATTTGCCTTTTAAGTCATAAAGAAAAAAATAAATTTACTGACCAAATATAGAAGAATACAGACTTAAATATACCTAAGTAGTTTTCTTTACTAATGTTCTGTATTTTGTCATATGGCTTTGAGTTACTGTCTAGTGTCCTTTTATTTCATCCTGAGGGACTCCCTTCAGCACTCATTGTTGGACAGGCCCACTAATAAGAAAAACCTTCTTAGCATTTATTTATCTGGGTATCTCTTAATTTGTCCTTCATTCTTGAAGGATAGTTTTGTCAGATACAGAATTCCTGGTTGACGGTTTTGTTTTCTTTTAGCACACTAAGTATGTTTTCTTAGTGCCTTCTGGCCTCTGTGATTTCTAATGGGAAATCAGTGTGATTTTTATTGAGGGCCCCTTGTACATAATGAGTTCCTTCTCTCTTGCTGCTTTTAGGATTCTGTCTTTCTCTTTGGCTTTTAACAATTTGACTATAATTGATGTCTTGATGTGGCCCTCTTTACATTTATTCCGTCCTGAGTTTGTTGAGTTTCTAGGATGCAGACTTTCATGTCTTTCATCAAATTTAGGAGGTACTGGCCATTATTTCCTCAAAATTGTTTCTGCCTCTTTCTCTCTTCGTCTTCTAGAACTTCTATGATGTATATGTTTGTATGTTTTTTTTGAGATGGAGTCTCACTCTGTCGCCCAGGCTGGACTGCAGTGGTGCAATCTCTGCTCACTGAAAGCTCTGCCTCTTGGGTTCACACCATTCTCCTGCCTCAGTCTCCCAAGTAGCTGGGACTACAGGTGACTGCCACCATGCCTGGCTAATTTTTTGTATTTTTTAGTAGAGACAGGGTTTCACCATGTTTGCCAGGATGGTCTCAATCTCCTGACCTTGTGATCTGCCTGCCTCGGCCTCCCAAAGTGCTGGGATTACAGGCATGAGCCACTGTGCCCAGCCGTATGTTTGTATGTTTTATTGTGTCTTAGAGGTTCTCAGATTCTGTTCATTTTTAAATTTTCTTTCTTACTTTCTTTCTTTTTTTTTTTTTTTTGAGACGGAGTGTCACTCTTGTTGCCCAGGCTGGAGTGCAATGGCGCGATCTCAGTTCACTGCAACCTCCACCTCCCGGGTTCAAGCGATTCTCCTGCCTCAGCCTCCCGAGTAGCTGGAATTACAGCCATGCACCACCATGCCCGGCTAATATTTTGTATTTTTAGTAGAGACAGCGTTTCTCCATGTTGATCAGGCTGATCTCGAACTCCCAACCTCAGGTGATCTGCCCATTTCGGCCTCCCAAAGTGATGGGATTACAAGCGTGAGCCACTGTGCCGGGCCCATTTTTAAATTTTCTATCTGCTCCTCAATCTGGAAATTGTTTATTTCCTTATCTTCAAATTTGCTGCTTCTTTCTACCGTTTGTTCAAATCTGTTGTTAAAACCATCTAGTGAATTTCTAATTCCAGTGATTGTATTTTTCAGCTTCAGAATTTCTATTTAATTCTTTTAATTTTTTTTTGTAATTTCTATCTCTAAATTGGCATTTCTTGTTTGTTAATATAGTGTTCTCCTGATTTTTGTCCATAGTTTCTTTTATCTAAATTAAACATATTTAAGACAGCTGATTTAATGTTTTTTACTAGTAATACTTTGCTGATAGTTTTTTTTTTTTTTGGATGGAGTTTTGCTCTTGTTGCCCAGGCTGGAGTATAATGGCATGATCTTGGCTTACTGCAATCTCCGCCTCCCGGGTTCAAGCAATTTTCCTGCCTCAGCCTCCTAAATAGCTGGGATTACAGTCATGCACCACCATGCCCGGCTAATTTTGTATCTTTAGTAGAGACGGGGTTTCACCGTGTTGGCCAGGCTGGTCTCAAACTCCTGAGCTCAGGCAATCCACCTGCCTTGACCTCCCAAAGTGCTGGGATTACAGGCATGAGCTGTAGTGCCCGACCTAAAAGATTTCTTGTTCAGCACTCACTGGCTATTCAAATTATATTGGATATTAGTAGAGGTTTTGTAGTGAGTATTAGAATTATAAAATTCTGCATAGATAGAAACAGATGTATATGGTTTAGAACTATATATTTACTGAATGCAGATCATAGGTGTTGATAGATTTGTGATCAGAATTAGCACATCTCTATTCATCTACTGTTTATGTGTGTCTGTTAAAGCAAAAACATAAATTCTTGCTTATCCACAACCTCAAATCTTGAAGATGATATTATATGCTCTAATGTATGATATGGAACAGGGGAAGACACGAAAAGAGACTCTTTGTCTTATAACCATAGATAGATGTTTAAAAGATTAAAAAGGAAGAGGCTTTGAAATTATAATGACTCACATGTCACCCCTGGTTCCTTCATAAGAAATATGAGAATGCTTGTCCTTTATAGCAGCATGTATTGGTGAACAAAATAGGATATTTGTATGTATGTGTGTGTGCGTGTGTGTATTTACATGTATGCTGATAGCTTGGTTATGAAGCCTTCATTGTTTTGCATTACGATGAGGGTTGAAAGAAGTTTCATTTTATAGCTCCTTCTGTTCACTCATTTACTCAGTTATCCAATCATTCATTAAAAATTTATTAAGTGCTTATGTTGTTTCAGCACTACACATACAAAGATGAATACAATGTGGTTCTTGAAACTTTTAAATTAGTTGGGAGCACAAAGTGGCATAAATGAAACGATTAGCTATTATGATAATATTGGAGGCTGATTTAAAAGTGATGTCTTTCTATGCATAGAGCAGAGCTTACCACGAAAGGAATTCATCCTCTATGCTAGCAGAGACTAAGGCAGTTAAGAGCCTAAAAGGGTGAATGCTTCAGCATTTTCTGTCAGAATAAAATGGAATTTGTCCTGCTCATTAAGTCTGTATCTGTCTGATGCTTTACAGAAGCTACTCAAAGAGATAGATATCATGTCCCAGAAAAGATGGGCAAGATCGGAAAGATGGAATGACTGGGAAACGTATTCTGTAACTTGCATTATTTTGATTAGGGTATCTCTGAAATCAGGGTAAAATGAGTTACTTAATCTTCTCTCTTTTCCTGGGCAGGTAGATTTAATAGTAGCTTTTATTTATCATGCAAGGTACAAATACTTACAAATGAAATTAGAATGTGGATTCAGTGTAATAGGCTCATTTTCCTCCTTGCTCCTGGAGTGGATAAGAACCAGGATCTAGTGTGAAAAAGCCCTCCTGCAGGAAAAGGGTCTGATGTGATTGTCAGAGTCCATTTGTGTTGCTATCATAAAATACCCGAGATTAAATAATTAATAGAGAGCAGAAATTTATTTCCCAGTTCTGGAGACTGGGAAGTCAAAGATGAAGGCACCAGCAGATTCAGTGTCTGTTGAGGGCTGCTCTCTCCAGCTAAAAAGGCATCTTGTTGCTGTCTCTCCACATGGCAGAAGGAAGGGTAAAAAACCAAGTTTCTTACCTTAATCGCATTCAAATAAGAGAGGAGCCCTCATGGTTTAACCACTTCCTCAAGGCTCCATCTCTTATTACTATTACATTCGAGACTGAGTCTCAAATTCAATATGAATTTTGGAGGGACACAAACATTCACGCCATAGCACAGGGTGAAGAAGGCATTCACACATGGGGTGACCTGCTGTTGGGTGTCAGTGTTAGGAAGGGTATTCATGTTAGGCTGGCTAGCTTGTTTAGCCCAAGTGTGGTGATGAGGGCATCTACGTATTGTGGGGCAAGAGGAATGTTCAGCTTGGTGTGAGGTGTAGAGTCCAAGCAAGGTGATAAAATTATCCATGTGGAGAAAAGTCCTGGAGAAGTTTTGGAGCTGAGGTAGATGAGGAGGTTTTCCACGTGGAGAGGTGTCCCAGGCAGATGTTGGGTTCTGATAACACGGTGAAACCCTGTCTCTACTAAAAATATAAAAAAATTACGGCCAGGCACGATGGCTCACGCCTGTAGTCACAGCACTTTGGGAGGCAGAGGCGGGTGGATCACGAGGTCAGTAGATCGAGACCATCTTGGCTAACACGGTGAAACCCCGTCTCTACTAAAAATACAAAAAATTAGCTGGATGTGGTGGCGGGCGCCTGTAGTCCCAGCTACTTGGGAGGCTGAGGCAGGAGAATGGTGTGAACCCAGGAGGAGGAGCTTGCAGTGAGCGGAGATCGCGCCACTGCACTTCAGCCTGGGTGACAGAGCGAGACTCCTCAAAAAAAAAAAAAAAAAAAAAAAACTTAGCCGGGCGTGGTGGCGGGTGCCTGTAGTCCCAGCTACTCGGGAGGCTGAGGCAGGAGAATGGCGTGATCCTGGGAGGCGGAGCTTGCAGTGAGCCGAGATCGCGCCACTGCACTCCAGCCTGGGCGACAGAGTGAGACTCCGTTTCAAAAATAAATAAATAAATAAATAAAAATAAAAAATAATAAAAAGAGTGAAGACAGGGATTGTGGTGGAGATGGGAGATTGGCTGCATACAGATTGATCAAATAGACAAAAGAATGGATAATCTGAGATAGGCTCTTACTTGCTAAGAATGAAGTTACAAATAAGGAAAGGGAAAAAATTACAGTTAACTCTGTGGTATTGGATTCGAATTGGAGGTGTTGGTGTGAATTGATATATTTCAATGTAGAGAGATAAAAGTAGAAATGAAAATAGGTATTCCGTAAGTGTATATACATATATTTCCTCATTTTGTGAAAGGATATAGGAACAAAACCTCAACAGCAATGAGCACACCTAGCACTTGAATTTGGGCTTCTGAATATTCTTCTCCACTCAAAGGAACCAGAGAACCTAGAAGAAATGGCTGATTCCAGAGCCATTGCTCCAGAAAGCAACTGTAGCAAACAGTAAAAAAGTGATTCGAAAAATGATGTTACCATGTCAAATGGACATAGAAGCCAGCATAGATGAGCTTTCACTGGCTAAAATAAACATAGAAATAAATCATGATAGTAGTGGATTTTAAGTCTTTTTTTTTTTCTTTTTTTGAGACGGAGTCTCGCTCTGCCACCCAGGCTGGAGTGCAGTGGCAGGATCTCCGCTCACTGCAAGCTCCGCCTCCCAGGTTCAAGCAATTCTCCTGCCTCAGCCTTCCTAGTAGCTGGGACTACAGGCGCCCGCCACCATACCCGGCTACTTTTTTGTTTTTTCAGTAGAGACGGGGTTTCATCGTGTTAGCCAGGACGGTCTCGATCTCCTGACCTCGTGATCCCCCTGCCTCGGCCTCCCAAAGTGCTGGGATTACAGGCGTGAGCCCCCGTGCCTGGCGGATTTTAAGTCTTAAAGTAGAAATCTATGAGATAATACTGATATAAATAATAAATGAATAAACTAAAAGTTTAATTAAGAAAGGATATTTCATATCTTCAAATAACCTCTCCTAGAATTATTTTAATTAAAAAAGAACAAAAATAACTTCATAGCAGAGAAATCTGTAGATGCCGCCTTAATCAAGAGATTAAAGTGAACATAAATGTATGCCTCTGGATATGATGCAGTGAGAACACAGCATCATCTTTGTGATACACCTGTTACAGATTAATAACTTGAATCCAATCAAAACCCAAACAGAAAACCCTGAAACTGAGGAATATTCTGCAAAATAACTGGCCCATAATTTTCAAAAGTGCCAAAATTTTGAAAATTAAGCAAAAACTGAGTAACTATTCCAGAATGAAGGAGATTAAAAAGAGCTGACATTTAAAAGCAATATGTGATTCTGAACCTGATCCATTTCTCATAACAAAGACATTATTGGGTCAATGAGAAAAACTTAAGTGAAATCTGAGGATTAGATAGTGGTAATGTATCAGGTTAACTTCCTGACTTTGATGGTTCTATTGTGCTTATGCAAGAGAATGTCCTTGTTTGTAGAAAATACAGTAATCCCCCTTATCTGCTGTGTTGCTTTCTGTGTTTTAGTTACCCATAATCAATCATGGTCCAGAAATATTAAATGGAAAATTCCAAAAATAAAGAATTCATAAGTTTTACATTATGCACTGTTAGTAGCATGATGAAATCCCTTGCTATCCTGCTTCGTCCTGCTCAGGATGTGAATTGTCCTTTGTCCAGCATATCCATGCTGTCTACTCACCCTACCCATAAGCCACTTAGTAGCTGTCTCGGTTATCAGGTAGACTGTCACGGTATTACAGTGCTTGTGTTCAAGTAATTCTTATTTTACTTCATAATGGTCCCAAAATGCAAGAATAGTGATGCTGGTAATTTAGATATGCCAAAGGGAAGCTGTAAAGTGCTTCCTTTCAGTGAGAAGGTGAAAGTTCTTGACTTAATAAGAAATGAAAACAAAATTATATGCTGAAGTTGCTAAGATCTATGGTAGGAATTAATCTTTTATCTACAAAATTGTGAAGAAGGAAAAATAAATTTATGCTAGTTTTGCTGTCACACCTCAAACTGCAAAACTTACAGCCTCAGGGCATGATAGGTGCTTAGTTAAGATGGAAAAATTATTAAATTTATGGGTGGAAGAGATGAACAGAAACGTGTTTCTATTCACAGCAATGTGTCGCACCAGAAAGCATTGAGCCTACACAAAGACTTCAGCAAGGGAGCCCCTGAAATGAGTGACCCCAAGCCATTTGCTGTAAGAGATGGTTACATAGATTCAGGAATAGTTTTAGACTGAAAAATAACTTCTACTGGAGAAGGTAGCGTCTGGCGATGAAGAAGCTGCTGCCACATTTCTTATAATGATTCTATTTTAATATTATTATTGTTAGTTTCTTACAGTGCTTAATTTATAAGTTAAACTTTATCATAACTATGCATGTGTAGAATTAAACATAGTAATATATAGGGTTTGGTACTATCTATGGTTTCAGGCATCCACTAGGGGTTTTGAAATGTATCCTCTGTGGATAAGAGGGGACTGCTGTACACATTTACGTATTTGGTGGTGACAGGGCATCAGATCAGATTCTTAAGTAAATGATTCGTGGTTGGGGGGTTTGAGGTGGGAAGATTGAAGATGTTGCAGTGAGCCAAGATCACACCACTGTACTCCAACCTGGGCGACTGAGCAAGACACTGCATCTAAATAAATTTTAAAAATTAAATTAAAATTTTAAAACCATACTTTATATTGTTAAAAATAAAAAGAACTGGGACTCTGTTGTCAAGTTGCCTTAGCTCAAATCCCAGCTTAGTTGTGTGAGCTTGGATAACTCTGGTAACCTCTCTGAGCTGCCCATGTTTTCTCCATGAAAGGGCTATAATAGTAGCAACTTCTTAAAGGGGTTGTTTTAAAGTTTAAATTTGAAAAGGTCTTCATATAATTTCTGGTTGTTAAAAAATTTTGTTATTAATTAGAAGTCATTTTCCTTACTCATTTTTATGGAATAAAATAAAGGGTTTTAGTTCATGTGTGAATGACTACAAATTAGAATGCATGTAGAGATAGATTTTTCATATTGAAAGATAAAGCATTATAAGTTCTTTAATTGCCTAATAAAGACTCTGTCATCTTCAAATTTGAATCCAAGATATGTGCTGGCTCAAATCAATCAGATGAATAATCTAATTAATCACATTTTTTTATTATTATTTGTTTATTTTTGAGACGAAGTCTCGCTTTTGTCCCCCAGGCTGGAGTGCAATGGCGCAATCTCAGTTCACTGCAATCTCTGCCTCCCAGGTTCAAGAGATTCTCCTGCCTCAGCCTCCCAAGTAGCTGGGATTACAGGCATCTGCCACCACGCCCCATTAATTTTTGTATTTTTAGTAGAGATGGGGTTTCACCATGTTGGCCAGACTGGTCTCGAACTCCTGACCTCAGGTGATCTGCCCGCCTCAGCCTCCCAAAGTGTCGGGATTACAGGTGTGAGCCACCGTGCCCAGCCCACATTATGGTTTTAATGTATTCTAATGCCTCTAATAACAATGTTGGATGTCACCAAATTCCAGTTGTGGAAATGTCTTGAGTATAAAAATACACATATACTTTTTTTTTTTTTTTTTTTGAGACAGAGTTTCACTCTATCACTCTGGCTGGAGTGCAGGGGTGTGATCTCGGCTCACTGCAACCTTCACCTCCCTGTCCCATGACCCCCACCCCTACCCCCCCACCCACCCCCGTTTCAAGCAATTCTCCTGCCTCAGCCTCTCGAGTAGCTCGGATTATAGACACCTGCCACCACATCCAACTAATTTTTGTATTTTTAGCAGAGATGGGGTTTTGCCATGTTGGCCAGGCTGATCTCAAACTCCTGACCTCAGGTGATCCACCCACCTCAGTCTCCCAAAGTGCTAGTAAGAGATGACAGAGTGCTGGCAGCCCTGGCAGCCCTCCCCCACGTTTGGTGCCTCCTCGGCCTCGGCGTCCACTCCAGCCGCGCTTGAGGAGAGCCCTTCAGCCTGCTGCTTCACTGTGGGAGCCCCTTTCTGAGCTGGCCGAGGCCGGAGCCAGCTCCCTCAGCTTGCGGGGAGGTGTGGAGGGAGAGGCGCGGGCAGGAACCAGGGCTGCGCGGGCGCTTGCAGGCCAGCACGAGTTCCGGGTGGGCGTGGGCTTGGCGGCCACCCCGGGCAGTGAGGGGCTTAGCACTGGGGCCAGTAGCTGTGGAGGATGCGCCGGGTCCCCCAGCAGTGCCGGCCGGGGGCACTGCACTGGAATTCTCACTGGGCCTCAGCTGCCTCCCCGCGGGGCAGGGGTCAGGACCTGCAGCCTGCCATGCCTGAGCCTCCCCTCCGCCGTGGGCTCCTGTGCCGCCGGAGCCTCCCCTAGGAGCACTGCCCCCTGCTCCATGGCACCCGGTCCCATCGACCACCCAAGGGCTGAGGAGTGCCCGGGGCAGGGCTAGGGACTGGTGGGCAGCTCCACCTGCGGCCCCAGTGGGGTATCCACTCGCTGAAGCCACCTGGGCTCCTGAGTCTAATGGGGACTTGGAGAACTTTTATGTCTAGCTAAGGGTTTGTAGATACACCAATCAGCACTCTGTGTCTAGCTCAAGGTTTATAAATGCACCAATCAGCACTCTGTCTCTAGCTCAAGGTTTGTGAATGCACCAATCAGCACTCTGTAACTGGCTAATCTGGTGGGGCCTTGGAGAAACTTTATGTCTAGCTAAGGGATTGTAAATACACAATCACCACTCTGTCTAGCTCAAGGTTTGTAAATACACCAATCAGCACTCTTGTGTCTAGCTCAAGGTTTGTAAACACACCAATCGGCACTCTGTATCTAGCTAATCTAGTGGTGAGGTGGAGAATTTTTGTGTCTAGCTCAGGGATTGTAAATGCACCAATCAGCACCCTGTCAAAACAGACCAATCCACACTCTGTAAAACAGACCAATCAGCTCTCTGTAAAATGGACCAATCAGCAGGATGTGGGTGGGGCCGGATAAGGGAATAAAAGCAGGCTGCCCCAACCAGCAGTGGCAACCCTGTGGAAACTTTGTTCATTCGCTCTTTGCAATAAATCTTGCTGCTGCTTGCTCCTTGGGTCCACACTGTCTTTATGAGCTGTAACACTCACTGTAAAGGTCTGCAGCTTCTTTTCTGAACCAGCGAGACCACGAATCCACCGGGAGGAATGAACAACTCTGGATGGGAGGAAGGAAGAACTCCGAACACCGGAAAGAACAAACTCCAGACACCCTGCGGTTAAGAACTGTAACACTCACCACGAGGGTCTGCGGCTTCATTTTTGGAGTCAGTGAGACCAAGAACCCATCAATTCGGGACACGGTAGGATTATAGGCGTGAGCCATTGCACCAGCCCACATATACTTTTACTGCCAGAAATACTCAAACATCATGGATGTTACAGTGGTGGAAATCATGTTACTAAATCAATAACAAATGATGATAAAATAAATTTTCATATTCATAAGAAAACCCACAAACAAATTTCTGCAGGAACCAGTACGGGGTGTGAACCATGAACTGTAATTGACAAATTTCTGGATACTCAATGTGGACAAGTCTCAGTTAAAAACTCTGGGGGACATGCACAGTGGAAGTTTGAGTTTTATTTCTTGGAGCCCAACCAGGTTCTGATAGTGAATATCAGGGAAAAATCCCCTCTGGCTTCTTGCAGTGGGAGAGAAAAGGTAATCAGTTTGAAAAAATACCAGAGCATGCTGTTCTTCTTAACAAGGCTTGCCCTCAAGAGAAACTATTTTACCAGAGCCTAACCTGTTGGGGTTTTATTGTAGCCTAATTAATCCGGGGGAAAAACTATCCAATTCCAGCCCCATTTAGCTATCCTGTCCTACCAAAGGCACAGGAAAAAAGCCGAGAGGCACTTGCAAAGTTCACAGCCCAGGGCTACAAGTTCACTGAAAGTCTGACACATAATCCATGAAACTACGTGTCTTAGTCTTAAGTCTTCTCTGGTTTCTGTTCTTAACTGCCAAATTGGCCAAATTATTGTACATACTCGGCATAGATCTAAAAGTCAGTGGAGGGGAGAGAAGGATGACTTATTACAGGAGCATTTAAGATGATTCTAGAGTTAGAGTCATCACAGTTGTCCATACCAATTTTGACTGTGTTGCCACGAGGAAATAGCCAGCTTTCAGGAAAGTTTTGAAACATTGCAGAGAATTGTGGATTAGAAAGTTGAAAATGATAACAGCTAGACTGGACAATTACAAATGCACAGTGGCCCTCAATATAAGCGGTAACCTAGATGCTTGTGTGCTTTCACGCGCACGCCCCCAGGAGCACCTGAATCTGGACACCCCCTCCCCCATGGTTCTATAGCTCAGAGGCTTGGCTTAGGTGGGGTTGGAAATGCCCTAGAATGGCTCTTTGTTGATTTTCCTCGTGCTAGAGCCTAGTGCTGCTGTGAAGCAAAGTGCTATTGAATTTGCTCACTCAGGCAGAACACTCAACAGGAAGGAAGGAAGCGGCCATTCTTTCTGGTCCTATTGTCTGACCACTCGGCTTAAGCAATCAAACAGCTCTGTGGCCAGAGCTGGGTGCTTACAAGCCTGTCTATTTTTATTTTTTCCCCCTGGTGGGCATTGGGAAAGGGGGCAGGGATGGATGGAAACTGGTTCTTTGTGGTTTTCACTTATTTTTGATACCTTCCAATGACATGTATTTATGGCTCATTCTCATGGAATCCATTTTCTAACAGCAAAGTAGAAAAGAACAGTCAGCCTGGGTGAGAATGCACGCATTTGGGAAGTGGAATAAGGGTAGCTACGTAGTAGGCTTTCTCTGTAGATATATTGTGAAACTAGGAAGAAATAAAGGTTTTATGTCACTAATAAAATTTGAGATCAGTTATTTTTGAATGATGGTATTTGGTGCCCCTCTAACCCTCTGTCTTTGGACTAGTCTTTTACTCTCTCTTTACTTCGTTTGTTTTTTTTTCCTTTTTAGCTAAAGAATAAGGATAGTGACACTACCTTGTTTATTTCACAAGGTTAGGGTAATAATCAAATGTGTGAAGTACTTAGAAAAATATCACATTATTGTAACATGTAGTCTGGTGAGGGGGAAAAAAAAGCCACCAATTAAAATGACTAACCAAGGTACGAAAGAAAAGTAATAAACAGCTAAGAGTTATTGTACAAACATAATCAATTTTGTCATTGATGTATCTGTTTCTAAATTGTTGACAGTTTCCAAGTCTAAAAAGTTTCTGCAGAAAACTATAGCTTTGGGTCATTGCCACAAAGAAGCAGTTAGTAGAAATTTATAGTTGGCAGCAAATGCTAGCAGGGTGTGATTTTTTTTCCCTAAGCATAACTCTCAAGTTCTAAGCACAATTTTAAAACACATTTATTAAAAGACTGAAATCTCATATGATTATTCTTCTGATACATATGAATTTTAGGGGAAATACAAATTTGAAAATCAAAATTTGAAGAGTAGAGTCAAATTTTATGGGAAAAATGATGCCTTCATTATAATGAGATTTAAATTTATTTATTTTTGACAAGAGTTCTAAGGAACTGTAATGATTACAGTTATATCTTACAAAATTGAGAAGGCATGAGGAATTTAAATTACCCTGGGTTATTTGGGAACCTTCTGATAATCTCTGAAGAAATTATGCCATAAACTTTACTAAACAATTTAACATTAAGATATGGGAAATGGCAGAAGCTTTTAAAGGAGTGAGGCAGTGTTCAAGGTTGGATGATATCCTCAAAGGAACATAGTTAAGGGAATTTTTTCATTTGGTTTGAATGGACATTTCCTTTCAAGAGCTCAGAGAAGGGGAGGCCTATGTTTAACTTGTGAATCTAGATATCTAGAGTTTAGAGCAGGGCTCAGATTGGCATATTATTGCCTGCTGATTTTGAAGCCTTCTCTCTTTGATTTGCCACTTTTAGAAGTTGGATAATGATGCCAGGTACTTCTGGGCTGTGTCACCATTCCTCTCATTAGTAAGTCAGTATTTGATATGGTCATTGTAATTTTTCCCAAGTAGAAGTCAAAGGTAGTTCTTCTTTAGGAAAAGATTGAGGACTTGAATGGGGAATATGTTTTGTCCTACTCCTTAAGGATATCAGGATATGAAGCCAGGGCTATTAGAAAAATAGTGGGAGCTCTAACAAGCTGAGAGCAAGAGACAGTAATTCCTCGAGGGCAAGCTAATCTTAGTCATTTCCCTGTGCTATGATTTATAGGGAGACTTGGAGAGCATCTAACTCTTGAAAAACTATTTACCCAGGTAACCCAGTGTCAAAACTTCATTGCTATGAAGTTATTCCTTTAGGTTAGATCATTCCTTTGGGTTAAGGTCACTTATTCTTAGAAGGAATTCATTTTTAGGCTCTCTTCCTGGAGATAAGCCAATGTGAAAACACAGGAGCCAGCAGAGTAATAAAAAAGTGGTGCTGAAAATGAAGAAAAAGTAACCAGAGCAAGAGGGAAAGCACTGAAAAAAAGCAATTTTTCTTCATTTTCATTTTTGTCTATAGCCTTTCATCTAAAGCTTTATTCCCTGAAGTTTTAGGTGACAAAAATAGAGAGCAAGATTAGTCTGGGAATCTAGAAAGCCCTGATCTAAAATCCAGAAAGCCTCATTCCTGCATTTCCACCAAATGGTGATTTGAGATAAACAGTTCAGATTCTCAATGCAATTTCCTTCTCTGTTAAATAAGAGCCTTAGACAAAATGCTTTTATCATGTTGCTCATAGTTCTAAAGTTCCCTGGACCTTTAGTTGGATGCTTAGGGCTCTACTTCAATGTATTTGTTCAAAGCCAAGGCCAGCTCATCCAGTTCCATCTTTGACAGAGAAGAAACATGAAGGACAAATTTTTATTGATGTGTATGATCCTGTTTGGAAGAGTTGCAGGATGTCAACCCTGAAAATCTGCTCCTAGGAAGAGTTAGAACCTTTTCTCTTTGCAGTATCATGTTTTGCCATTGTAAAGGGACTGGCTAGACCCTGGCCTAATTCACTATTTTTCTCCAGATAAATTCGCAATGAACCTGTTATACTCAGATCTAAAGGAGGACAAAATACGATCCAAAGTGGATCTTCAACTAACCAAATTTCTCCTCCAAAGATTCAGATCAAGGCCATAGAGAGGCTTTTCCTAAAATCTCTAAGTCAGCAAAATTGATTGTCCATCCCATATAAATGAACTTTCCCTGAAATTTATCAAGCCAGAGAGAACAGAAACAAATATGATGCATATTAATTCAACTATATCAATACTCACTTTAAATACAAATTTTTCTAAATATACCAATTAAAAGACAGATATTGTGGGAGTGGATCAAAAAACAAGACTCGCCAGGTGCAGTGGCTCACTCTTGTAATCCCAGCACTTTGGGAGGCCAACGCGAGCAGATCACCTGAGGCTGGGAGTTTGAGACCAGCCTGACCAACATAGAGAAACTTCATCTCTACTAAAAAGACAAAATTAGCCTGACATGTTGGCACATGCCTGTAATCCCAGCTACTCGAGAGGCTGAGGCAAGAGAATCGCTTGAACCCAGGAGGCAGGGGTTGCGGTGAGCCAAGATCGTGCCATTGCACTCCAGCCTGGGCAACAAGAGCAAAGCTCCGTCTCAAAATAAATTAATTAAATAAAGTAAAAAACAAGACTCAGCTGTATGTTGTCTACAAGGAACTCACTTTAAATATTTGAATATAAGGACATTTGATTAAAAGTAAAGAGATGAGAGCAAGGAGCAGTGGCAGAAACCTGTAATCCCAGCTACTTGAAAGGCTGAATTGAAGTGGGAGGATCACTTGGTTCAAGAGTTTGAGACCAGCCTGGGTAACATAGTAAGATCCTGTCTCTAAAAAAAAATGAAAATAAATTTAAAAAGATGGAGAAAGATATCCATGCTACCATTAGTCAAAATAAAGTTATATTAATTTATTTGTTTCTTTGATGGAGTCTCACTCTGTCACCCAGGCTGGAGTGCAGTGGCACGATCTCAGCTCACTGCAATTTCTGCCTGTGGGTTCAAGCGATTCTCCTGCATCAGCCTCCCCAGTAACTGGGACTACAGGTGTGCACCACCATGCCTGACTAATTTTTGTATTTTTTTAGTGGAGACAGGGTTTTGTCATGTTGGCCAGGCTGGTCTCGAACACCTGACCTCAGGTCATCTGCCCACCTCAGCCTCCCAAAATGCTGGGATTACAGGCGTGAACCACTGCTCCCAACTTATATTAATTTCATACAGAGAAGACTTCAGAGCAAGGAAAGTTGTCAGGGATAAAGGAGTCCATTACATAATGATAGAGGTCAATTCTCCAAGAAGATATAATAATCCTTAATGTATCTGTGCCTGAAAAGAGAGTATTACAATACATGAGGTAAAAACTGACAGAACTGTGAAGAGAAATAGATGACTCTACTGTTTAGTTGGAAACTTTAACAATTCTCTATCAGAATTGGACAGACCCATTAGGCAGAAAATCAGTAAGGACATCAGTTGAACTCAACAGAACCATTAACCAGACATAATCGACATCTATAGACTACTTTATCCAACAACAGAAGAATACACATTCTTCTCACAGTCATATAAAATGTTCACCAATATTGACTACATTTGGGTCATCAGATACACCTGGACAAATTTCAAAGAAAAGAAATCATACAATATTTGCTTTCAAACCACAGTGGAATTAAACTAGAAATTAATAACAGGAAATCACTCCAAAATATTGGAGATTAAACAACATACTCTAAATAACATGGGTCACAGAAGTTGTCTCAAGAGAACTTAAAATATATTTTGAACTAAATTAAAATAAAAATACAACTTATCAAAATTTGTGGAATCCAGCGAAAACAGTGCTTAGGGAAAATTAATAGCATTAAGTGCGTATGTTAAAAAGTATATCTAAAATCAGTCATCTAAGCTATCAACTTAGGAAACTAGAAAAAGAAGAAGATAGTAAATCCAAAGTAAGAAAAGAAACAATAAAAATTAGAATAGAAATCAATGAAAATAAAAACAGGAAATTAATGGAGAAAATAAATGAAATCAAAAGCTCATTCTTTGAAAAAGTCAATAAAATAGTTAAGTTTCTTACCAGGCTAAGAAAAACAAAGATGACAGCAATTACTAATACTAGAAATAAGAGGGGACATCACCACAGATCCCTTGAACATTAATAGGATAATAAAGATGAAGAAATACTATGAACAGCTCTATGGCCACAAATCTAACAACCTAAATGAAATGGACCAATCCTTCGAAAGATACAATTCACTAAAACTCACACAAAAATAAATAGGCAATCTAAATAAGACTACATTTATTAAATAAGTTGAATCAGCAGTTAATAGCATTCCAAAAACAAAAACACCAGCCCCACATGCGTTCACTGGTAAATTCTATCAAATATTTAAGGCAGAATTAATAGCAATTCTCTGCAATTTCTTTCAAAAGATAGATACAGAGGGAATACTTTCTAATTTATTCTATCAGATCAGCATTACCTTTCAGCCAAAGACTTTACAAAATAGAAAACTACAGACCAATTGCATTACCTAAATGTAAATGCAAGAATCCTCAGCAAAATATTTGCAAATCAAATCCAACTATGCATAAAAAGTATTATATGCCACAAGCAAGTGGGATTTATCCCTGATATACAAATCTAGTTCAACATTAAATAAAGCACACGTAGAAGAAAGAAAAACAAAATGTATCATTTACCCTTGAGTAATATAAAGTGTCTAACATAGGTGTAATTGGAGGCTCAGAGGCAGAAGATAGAGACAAGGGACAGAAAAACCCTTTCAAGAAATATCGATTAATAGGCTGGGCGCAGTGGCTTTCACACCTGTAATCCCAGCACTATGGGAGTCCAAGGAAGGCAGATCACGAGGTCAGGAGATCAAGACCATCCTGGCTAACACGGTGAAACCCCGTCTCTACTAAAAATACAAAAAAAAAAAAAAATTATCCAGGCATGGTGGCAGGTGCCTGTAGTCCCACCTACTTAGGAGGCTGAGGCAGGAGAATGGCCTGAACCCAGGAGATGGAGCTGACAGTGAGCCAAGACCGTGCCACTGCACTCCAGCCTAGGTGACAGAGCAAGACTCTGTCTCAAAAAAAAAAAAAAATTGATTAATTTTTTTTCAAATTATTTGATGAGGACTATAGACCCATAGATCCAAGAAACTCAAGAGACACTGCATAGGATAAATACAAACAACCCCACACTGAAGCTAATCATAATTAAACTGCTAAAAACCAGTGACAATGGAAAAAAAAAATCTCAAATCAGCAGGAGGCAAAAGAAATATGTACAGCAGAACAAAGATGAAAATGACAGTAGCAAACTAGGCAAGCCAGAAGAAAATGGAATAACATCTATAAAGTGATAAAAAGAAGCTAAACCTGTCAATGTTGAATTCTATACCTAGTAAAATATCTTTCCAAGATGAAGGCAACATAAAAACTTTCAGAAAAAGAAAAACTGAGATAATTTGTTTTCAACAGATCTACACTCCAAAAATTGTTGAAGTAAGTTCTGGTTCTGGTTGCATACCATATAGTAGGTATGCAAAGTAAGTTCTAGTTCTGGATGCATACCATATATGCATGCCATACAGTAGGTATGCAACCAGAACTAGAACTTACTTGTCTGGTCTCATTCTAGGCATTGGTCCTACGGTAACAAACAGCCCCTGTTCTCAAGGATTTGCTTTTCTGCACTGTTGAATATTCTTTACAAAGAATTTCTGGACTAAGCAACTATCAAGAAGAATGAAGCTAATAGTCACAGTAAATTGGTAATGGGTTTCCCACCAGGCTCAAACAAATAACTCACTTTTAAGAAATCTCTCTTATGAGAGGTGAGCAAAATACCAGGCTTTAGGGCTTGGAAAAGGTGAAGGGAAAAGAGACATAAAAACACATCATTTCTATTTTATTACTTTAGGGGATTTTATAATTAGCATATTCTTTGGAACTGAATACATGAATTGATAATATTAAAACTTAAAAATTCACCTTCTTATCAACAGAAATTCTATTTCCCTTTTCCAATTATTTTATAACAAGTTTAAAATTTCATTTAAAAAAGTGGAGTAATATAATTTCAATCGCTTTAGCAGATGACTGAATAGTTTTATTTTAAAGTTAAAATTATTATCCATTCTGGAAATTCTAAGTTATTTGAATGTATAATGTCCTTGCACATTGAAACTTTATTAGAGCTTAACATGATTGTGATACAAAGTTCTAGAAGATATCTTCAAGAGAAAGATTGGCTTCTCCAACAGACTCTTCATCAATTTGGAGATTTGTTTAAGACTATTTTGGTATCAGGCTGCTATGGAACCATGAGCTCTCAGGACTGTCAAGATTTATCTACATTTCCTCCCAGGACTCTAACTAAAATAATTCGGTTCTAAGCAAATACTTCATAATGAACAAGCATAAAGAAATTCCTGGAAGTATAAGTATTCAAATCTTAAGGCAGAATTGAACATTTCTGAGTGCAATTGGTACACTACCATTAAGATTCCACAATATTTCTGATATTTTAAATTAGTGATATTACTTTAAAATAGAAAAAAATCCAAGGCTAAGATATTTCTACAAAACATTTAGTAAGATTGAGGAGTCTTGAACAGCGTGCCTCAGTTTAAACAACCTTTGCAGAAAGCCCAAGGTGTAGCAAAGGCTTTTTAGGGGAAGAAGGAGGACAAGAATTTCCAAATGACAAATTAGGCTGTTACCTATAAGAGGTCTCATTTGAAATTCTCAATTAAATTCTCTTTCGTGTATTGAAGTAATCTAATTTATAACACAATGGCCTCCTAAATGATTAGTAATAAATTAATTTTTTTTTCTTAGATATGGGGATCTCACCATGTTGCTCAGGCTGTTCTTGAACTCCTGGTCTCAAGTGATCCTCCCACCTCAGCCTCTCCAGTAGCTAAGATCACAGGCTTGAGACACCATACCCAACTCAATGAATTCACATTTTTAAAAGATAAAGGAAAAGGCTACAAGGATCTGGTATTTGATGCCTTCTGTCTTTTTTTTTTTTTGAGACGGAGTCTCGCTCTGTTGCCCAGGCTGGAGTGCAGTGGCACAATCTCGGCTCACTGCAAGCTCTGCCTCCCGGGTTCAAGCTATTCTCCTGCCTCAGCCTCCCGAGTAGCTGGGACTACAGGTGCCTGCCACCATGCCCAGCTAATTTTTTGTATTTTTAGTAGAGATGGGGTTTCACCGTGTTAGCCAGGATGGTCTCAATCCTCAATCTCCTGGCCTCGTGATCCGCCCACCTTGGCCTCCCAAAGTGCTGGGATTACAGGCGTGAGCCACCGTGCCGGCCCCCTGTCTTTAGAAAATATAAATGTGTCAAGTTGCCCCACTTTAGTCTACTGTCAAATACACATGTATTATTATTTTTCTCAGAAAAAAACTTCAGTGTCTGTGGTTTAAAGAACTGTTAAAAAAGTATCCTTAGAATTTTCCAGTAAAATTGACAAATTCTTAAAAGAATAAATGCATATTTTTAATCACATAACTAGAAATTTAAGGTTCTAGGCTTGAATAAACACATTATATCCTGCTTATATCATTAAAGCATTATAAATGAGAGCAGTCTATATTTATTCATTTATTTATTTTGAGACCGAGTTTCACTCTTTGTTGCCCAGGCTGGAGTGCAATGGTGCGATATCAGCTCACTGCAATCTCTGCCTCCCGGGTCCAAGGGATTCTCCTGCCTCAGCCTCCCAAGTAGCTGGGATTACAGGCAGCCACCACCACGTCCAGCTAATTTTTGTATTTATCTTATTATTATCATTATTTTTGAGATGGAGTTTCGCTATTGTTGCCCAGGCTGGAGTGCAATGGCACCATCTTGGCTCACTGCAACCTCTGCCTCCTGGGTTTAAGCGATTCTCCTGCCTCAGCCTCTCGAGTAGCTGGGATTACAGGCATGTGCCACCACACCCAGCTAATTTTGTATTTTTAGTAGAGATGAGTTTTCTCCATGTTGGTCAGGCTGGTCTCAAACTCCCAACCTCAGGTGATCCACCCTCCTCAGCCTCCCAAAGTGCTGGGATAACAGGTGTAGGCAGCTGCGCCAGCCTAATTTTTGTATTTTTAGTAGAGACGGGTTTTCACCATGTTGATCAGGCTGGTCGTGAACTCCTGACCTTAGGTGATCCATCTGCCTCGACCTCCCAAAGTGCTGGGATTACAGGTGTGAGCCACCGTACCCAGTGAGAATAGCCTTTATTTTTAAGACTGATTTTGGCCGGGTTAGGTAGCTTTTGCCTGTAATCCCAGCGCTTTTGAAGGCTGAGGTAGGAGTATCGCTTGAGGTCAGGAGTTTTGAGGCTGCAGTGAACTAGGATCATACTAGTGCACTCCAGTTTGGACAGTAGAATGAGACATTGTCTGAAACAAACAAACAAAACAAAAAAGGAGACATTTTATAATGTGTTAGTTATTTTTGGCATATTTAAAAGTAGATAAACTAATGTTAAAAAAAATGCAGTGAATTTTTGGCAGAAAGTACCGTACAAATTCATAGAAAATTTCTACCATTTTCATTTATTTCTGTGAATCTTTTTTTCCCCTTAATAGTAATCTAATCTTTTTGTATCCAAAATACAACATAGACATTATATGTAGTAGGGGAGATTGACACATGCATAAAAGCAGTAATCCCAGTGCAATGGTATGATTTAGGGAGAGTCTCTCTCCTAATTTAATCTACCATAAAAGCTTATATAAATGTTAATGACTGCATAGCTATTTGAAAGTAAATAAGTTCTAGAAAAGAATATATATATTTAGATACTCCAACTCACAATTTTGTCAGTATGGAATTAATATGGATAAATGGAAAATAATCTTAAGAGTATGAGGGGATTATGTAAGCGGAATATGTAAGAAAATGTCACACATATCCTGAAACACGTGCCAGACATAAAAAAGAAGACGTATGTGACTAAAAATAAAAATTTCTATAAGATGAACACAAAAAAGCTTATAAAAGTTAAAAGACTAATGTCAAACTGGAAATTTGTATAAAAGATCAAATTCAAAAAAATAGAAAAAAAATTCAACATCTATATCTTTTAAAAATCCTAATAGGTCCAGGCGGGGTGGCTCATGCCTGTAATCCTAGCACTTTGAGAGGCTGAGGCGGGCGGATTATGAGGTCAGGAGATTGAGACCATCCTGGCTAACACGGTGAAACCCCGTCTCTACTAAAAAATACAAAAAATTAGCTGGGGTTGGTGGTGGGCACCTGTAGTCCCAGCTACTTGGGAGGTTGAGGCAGGAGAATGGCGTGAACCTGGGAGGCAGAGCTTGCAGTGAGCCGAGATCACGCCACTGCACTGCAGCCTGGGTGACAGAATGAGACTCTGAAAAAAAATGCTAATAAACATTTTATCTCCTTCTAAAAACATAATCGAAGAGAATGAACAAACATCACAAAAGGTGATATATAAATATCTCATGTATGCACATACAAAAAAATTAGACCTCACTTACTATTTTTAAATGCAAATTTAAAGAAAAGCAGGATGCCACTTTCCACACAGATCAGATTGGCAATGGGAATGACAATCATACCAGAGTTGCCAAGGATGTGGGAAGCAGGTTTTCTCATTGACTGCTTATGGGACTCTTAAGTTGGTTAAAGAATAGAACAAAACAAAACAAAGCAAAGAAAAGCAAAAAACAACGGTAAATTTTCCTGGAAGACAAAATAATTTTGTCTTTCAGAAGAGACAATTTAAGGCGTCCCCTTAAGTTAAATGATTATAGTCTTTGACACACCAATTCCACTTTTAGGAATTGGTCTTAAAAAGATAACTGTGCCAGTGGTCACAAAATAAGTGAAGAATATTAATCTTAATGACTACACTGTTTTAAACAAGGAATGGCTGGAAATAAGCTTTAGGTCTATTAGCAGGGGACTTTTAAATAGTCGAGAAACACTTACCCAAAGGATCTCTTTTTTATTATAATAGCTCTATGTATGGGATGCTAATCCGTGATGGCATGAAAAAATGATCCGTAAACTATCAGAAAATAAAAAAAGAGGTTACAAGATAGCATGCATAAAATAATGGCTTCTATTTAAAGCTGTATGTAGGTATGTGTAGGTATAGACCATGAGCTGTCTGGAAGTGTACTCACCAAAAATTTACTGTGGTCATCTCTTGGTAATATGGTATTTTTTGGAATTTTCCTATTTTTGCAGTCAGCTTATATTGCTTTTTTCTTAATAAACAAAAACAGCAAATCTATTTTAAAAATAAGAAGTATAAAAGATAACAATCATGAATAGGGGAATATAGGTAACATGCATGGATAGAACCATCAGGCTTATAAGGAGAAGTGTAGACTTCCTGTTCTTGCAAGCTGAAATTTAGTTGGCCACTTACCAAGCTAAAACTTGCTGCAAGAAGATTTGCAAAGAAGTTATAAACCACTGTTACTAATTAGAGTTGTATGAAACTACTAATTTTCATTTCATGACTATGCATGTACTGAAATGAGAACTGCAAAAACTCAGCAGTTTTGGTTGGATTGGACTTTGTTGAGATGTTTAAGTAGCTTTGATTTAGATGATTTGAAATTTTGAAATCTTGTTTCATTTGTTCCTACATAGCAAAACCGATGGAATGAGTAACTAATTTCTCTTTACAGATTTGGAATTGGTACAAAACAAAGCAAAGTCATAACATTCAAACCCCATGAACTACATAAAGGAGTAATAAAATTGTATGAAAACCAAAAGGCAATAAAAACTTTTTCTTCAGGATGTCACTTACGAGAACTAATGTTATCTGAAGGGTGAAATTAAAAAAAAATTACAGATTCAGGGGATACGTGTGGAGGTTTGTTACATGGATATATGGAATAATTGGTGAGGTTTGGTCTTCTAGGGTGCCCATGATTAAGGGTGAAATTTTACTCAACAATTAAGTAAATATTAAATTTTTTTCTTTTTCTTTTAAGAGACAGAGTCTCACTGTGTTGCTCAGGCTGGTCTTGAACTCCTGGACTCAAGTGATGCTACTGCCTCGGCATGCCAAAGTGCTGGGATTACAGGCATGACCTACTTTGCCCAGCCCAGTAAATATTCTTTGAGAACATATGATATGAGGTTACTGGGTGGGCCCACAGAGCTCAGGGTCTATTGGAGAAAACAACATTTACAGTATGGAATAAGTACTCCTGCTTAAATAAGTGGAGGACGTTCTTAGAAAACAGTGGAATGACCATTTATGAAACTTGTACATATAGAATCTATGCCCCCAATTTTTATTACTATCTGTTCAATTTAATTTGTTTTTATTTTACTTACATCTACAGCCTATAAAAAATTCCTAGAAAAACATTCCTTTTGCAGTTCTATAGACACACACACACACACACACACAAACACACACACACCCCTGTATCTGCAATATTTCAGATATATTTGCAAACTTTGTGATATGGTTTTGCTCTGTGTCCCCATCAAAATCTCATCTTGAGTTGTAATCTTCATGTCTCAAGGGAGGGACCTGCAATCCCCACATGTCAAAGGAGGGAGGTGATTGGATCATGGTGTCAGTTTCCCACATGTTAGTCACATGATAATTAGTGCATTCTCACGAGTCCTGATGGTTTTGTGTTTCACAGTTCCTCCTTTATAATTTCTGTCTCTCCTGCCGCCTTGTGAAGAGGTGCCTGCTTCCCATTCACCTTCTGCCATGATTGTAAGTTTCCTGATGTCTCTCAAGCCATGTGGAACTGTAAGTCAATTAAACCTCTTTTGTTCATAAATTACCAAGTCTCAGGCAATAATTTTATAGCAGTGCAAAAATAGACTAATATAGTAAATTGGTACTGGGAGTAGGGCACTGCTAGAAAGATAACTTGAAAATGTTGAAGTGACTTTGGAACTGGGTAACAGGCAGAGGTTGGAACAGTTTGGAGGGCTCAGAAGAAGACAGAAAATGTGGGAAAGTTTGGAGCTTCCTAGAGACTTGTTGAATTGTTTTGACCAAAATGCTGATAATGATGTAAACAATAAAGTCCAGGGAGCAACTTATTGGGAACTGGAGTAAAGGTCATTCATGCTATGCTTTAGCGAAGAGACTGGTGGCATTTTGCCCTTGCCCTAGAGATCTGTGGAACTTTGAACCTGAGAGACATGATTTAGGGTATCTGTCGGAAGAAATTTCTAAGCAGCAAAGCATTCAAGATGTGACCTAGATTATTCTGACAGCATTCAGTTTTATGCGTTCACAAAGAGATGGTTTGAAATTGGAACTTATGTTTAAAGAGGAAGCAGACATAAAAGTTTGGAAAGTTTGCAGCCTGATGATGATATAGAAAAGAAAAACCCATTTTCTGAGGAGAAAGTCAAACTGATTGCAGACATTTGCATAATTAACAAGGAGCCAAATGTTAATCACCAAGACAATGGGGAAAATGTCTCCAGGACATATCAGAGATCTTGGTGGCAGCCCCTCCCATCACAGGTACAGAGGCCTAGGATGAAGCATGGTTACATGGGGGAGCATGCTGGCGATCATGGAGGATGGGAGGCAGAACTAGATTGCAGCTCCGGACAGAGCAGCGGGTGGGGGCTCACATTGTGAATGTTAGCTCCAGAGAGGACCCACAGACCTTTTGAAGGAAGTGGACTCCTCCTGCAGGACCTGGGAGATCCCCCCAAAACTATGAGTGCCCCAAGTATGGAACTGGGAAAGGAAGATCCTCCTCTCCCGAACACACACACCCACTGGAGAAGCAGAAGGTCTGTTTGTGGGAGAAGTTTCCAACTTTACCTGGAGCTGAGTCAATTTGGAGAGCTGAACGAAATATAGATGTAGAAGAAGCAGCAGAAAGGCCCTGGGAGCTCCCTGGGTCCCCTAGCAGGCCATTCCTGCCTGGCACCACAAGGATCCAATGGGACAGGAGCAGGGGGTAAAACTACAGAGGGAGAAGGAAATCTCCAGCTGAATTTAGTAACAATTAGAACGGGATGAGAAGCCTCCTGGCCAAAACTCCAGGGAGGGCGCAAATCCGGTGTGCAAACTCCACAGGTGGGGTAAGACCCAAGCTGGTTTCTTTCACAGCTGGGAGGTGGTAGCCTGGGGCAGGTTTTCCAGCCTGTATTGCTTTCTGCCTGGAAACAGACTGGGGGCTTTTGGGAGGGGCACGGTGGGAGTGAGACCAACCCTTTGGTTTGTGTGGGAGCTCAGTGAGGCCTGTGACTGCTGGCTTTCCCCCACTTCTCTGATAACCTGCATGGCTAAGCAGAGGCAGCCATAATCTTCCTAGATACACAACCAGTGACCTGGGAATCTCACTCCCATTCCCCATAGCAGCCGCACAAAGACCGGCCAAGGAGAATCTGAGCTCAAACATGCCTAGCCCTGCCCCCACCTGATGTTCCTTCCCTACCCACCCTGGTAGTGAAAGAGAAAGGGCAAATAATCTTGGGAGTTCTAGGGCCCTCCCACTGCCAGTTCCTCCCCATACAACCACAGCTGATGCTCTCTGGAAAGTGCCACGTCATGGCAGGAGGCCAACCAGCACAAAAATAAAGCATTAAACCACCAAAGCTAAGAAACCTCATGGAGTCCATTGCAACCCCTGAAACCTGGACCAGAACAGGCTCTGGTATTCAAGGCTGAGAGAACCATAGATGGTTCACATCACAGGATTCTGGGCAGATAACCCCAGTACCAGCCCAGAGCTGTGTAGACTCGCTGGGTGGCTAGACCCAGAAGAGAGATAACAATCACTGCAGTTTGGCTCACAGGAAGCCACATTCACAGGAAAAGGGACAGACTACTACATCAAGGGAACACCCCATGGGACGAAAGAATCTGAACAACAGCCTCCAGCCCTAGACATTCCCTCTGACAGAGCCTATCCAAATAAGAAGGAACCACAAAACCAACCCTGGTAATATGACAAAACAGGGCTCTTTAACACCTCCCAAAAATCACACTAGTTAACCAGCAATGGGTCTAAACCAAGAAGAAATCCCTGATTTACCTGAAAAAGAATTCAGGAGGTTAGTTATTAAGCTAATCAGGGAGGGACTAGAGTAAGGCAAAGCCCAATGCAAGGAAATCCAAAAAATTATACAAGAAGTGAAGGAAGAAATATTCAAGGAAATAGATAGCTTAAATAAAAAACAATAAAAAATTCAGGAAACTTTGGACACACTTTTAGAAATGTGAAACGCTCTGGAAAGTCTCAGCAATAGAACTGAACAAGTAGAAGAAAGAAATTCAGGGCTCAAAGACAAGGTCTTTAAATTAACCCAATCCAACAAAGAAAAAAGAATAAATACGAACAAACCCTCCTAGAAGTCTGGGATTATGTTAAATGACCAAACCTAAGAATAATCAGTGTTCCTGAGGAAGAAGAGAATTCTAAAAGCTTGGAAAACATATTTGCAGGAAAAATCAAGGAAAACTTCCCTGGCCTTGCTAGAGACCTAGACATCCAAATACAAGAAACACAAAGAACACCTGGACAATTCATAACAAAATGATCTTCGCCTAGACACACTGTCTTCAGGTTATCTAAAGTTAAGATGAACGAAAAAATCTTAAGAGCTATGAGACAGAAGCACTAGGTAACTCATAGAAGAAAACCTATCAGATTAACAGCAGGTTTCTCAGCAGAAACCCGACAAGCTAGAACAGATTGGGGCCCAATCTTCAGCCTCCTCAAACAAAGCAACTATCAGCCAAGAATTCTGTATCCAGTGAAACTAAACACCATATATGAAGGAAAGATACAGTCTTTTTCAGACAGACAAATGCTGGGAGAATTTGCCACTACCAAGCCACCACTACAAGAACTGCTGAAAGGAGCTCTAAATCTTGAAACAAATCCTGGAAACAATCCCACACTGGTTGAATTTTAGCTGTTTCTTCCCATTAATTACCGTTACACCATCTCCGTGATGCAGCAGCACTCTTGCCTGAATAAATTATTGAATTGACTGCTTTAACAGAGACAAAAGAAAACAAAATAAACAAAAGCAACTTGCCTCTCCCATGCAAAATCATAAGATGGTGTGGGTAGTTCAGGGGAGCAGAGGGCTCTGATCCACGAAGTCATAGGAGTAGCCTCTCATTCCCAGCATTGACTTTAATCATCTCTTTATTGGGGGCCCAGCACAGTGGCTCATGCCTATAATTTCAGCATTTTGGGAGGCCAAGGCAGACAGATCACTTGAGCCCAGGAGTTGAAGACCTGCCTGGGCAACATGGTGAAACCTCGTCTTTAGAAAAAATGCAAAAAACAAACAAACAAACAAACAAACAAACAAAGAAAACTAGCTGGGTGTGGTGGTGCGTGCCTGTAGTCCCAGCTACTTGGGAGGATAAGATGGAAAGATTGCTTAAGTCTGAGGGGTAGCAGCTGCAATGAGCCATGATTGCACCACTCCACTCCTGCCTGACAGAGCAAGACTCAGCCTGGAAAAAAAATACCTCTTTATTGGCATTTTGACATCTTTAACTCTGACTTTTCTAGTATGCTGTTTCTTCTATCCCCATCTCTAGTAACTTTCTACAACACTTTCCACACTCTGTCTCCCATGCTGCAGCACAATGCTGGAAAGTTATGAGAAAGTGTTGACTGAACTGCCAAACTCTGTTACATGGATGGATCTTCTTTAGTGAAATAAGCCAGGCATAGAATACAGAAGCAAAATTTTGTATAATTCCACTTAGTGGAGGTACTTAGAATAGGCAAATTCATAGTCAGAAAGTAAAACAGTCTAGGCACAATGGCTCTGCCTGTAATCCCAGCACTTTGGGAAACTGAGACAGGAAGATCACTTGAGGTCAGGAGTTTGAGACCAGCCTGAACAACAAAGCAAGACCCTGTCTCTACAAAAAATAAAAAAATTATCCAGGTGTGGTGGTGAATATCTGTAGTCCCAGCTACTTGGGAGGCTGAGGTGGGAGGATCGCTAGAGCCTGAGCGGTTGAGGCTGCAGTGAGCCCTGCTCACACCACTGCATTCCAGTCTGGGTAACAGAGCAAGACCCTGTTTTAAGGGGGAAAAAAAAAAAAAAGGATAAATACTACAATATTACATTGTGTATACTTTAGCCATAATAAAAAAGTTTACAAACTAAAACAACAAAGAATATATAAGGTTAAGGAATAAGAGGCCTAAAAGAAAGGAAAAACAATAATAGATTTAAGGGAAGAAGGACATGTTTTAGAAGAAGCTCACTATCTGTTTACACAGAAATGATTTAGCATATGGCAAGGGAATAGGTCATGTTGAGAAATACTTGGAAAAAAAATAATTATTTTCTTTCTTAATTAGCCTGCATATGTACCTCCTTAATCTAAAATAAAAGCTGAAGTTGTTTTTCAAAGAAGAAAATAATTATAGAATACTTTTTTGGGTGAAATTTCCTCTACTGGATATGAAAATGGTGATTATAGTAGACATTGTAGCTTGGCTGCAGATGGCTCACAGTTCATCCTCTCTCCAGGCATTGCTCTTGGAGGAGAGATTCGGGGCAGTCCACAAGTAATTACTGCTCTGTGAAAGGGATCCAAAGTCCTGGTTCCCTTTTCTTGATTGGGAACAACTGAAGTGCCCTCCAGCTCTGGAACTCCAGGTAGGAGTGGCTGAGGCCTCTGGCACAACTGTCTCACAGTACAAAGTCTCCTTTTGCCCAACACTGCTTCCCTTACTCTGTAACAGGTGCTGTTCTCTCTTATACTTTCCAACCAACCTCTTGTATGCAAATTTCCATCTAAGAATACTTTTTCTGAGAATGCAACCTGAAACAAACATTGGTTTGCCATTCTAACCAGATGAGAAATATAAATTTCCTTTGTTATGCAATCATTTGAGAAAATTCTGTTTGGCCATAATGCAATTTCAACAGCAGGAAAGATTCGATTAAATTTTATTTCTTAACACAGTCATCAACATTAATTTGCTCACTTATTCATTTATTCCTTTTTAAAAATTTATTCAGCTAATACTTGTTGAGTGCCTACTATGTGCTGGATTCTATGTCAGGAAAACAATCTAATAAATGAAGGAGAAAGTCCAATACTGTCCATTAAATGGTAGGATATCATTACTCTTCCACAAACTGTAAACAGTAATTTTCCTCAAAATTTAGTGCTACCTGAAAGAGTGACATGGTTTGGATCTGTGTCCCTGCCTAAGTCTCACGTTGAATTATGATCCCGAGTGTTGAAGATGAGGCCCGGTGGGAGGTGATTGGATCATGGCGGGTGGATCCTTCATGAATGGGTTAGCACCATCCCCTTAGTACTGTCTTGTGATAGAGTTGTCATGGGATCTGGTTGTTTAAAAGTGTGTAGCACCTCCCCACTCTCCCTCTTTTTCTCCTGCTCTGGCCATGTAAAGTGCTGGCTTCTCCTTCACCTTCTGCCATGATTGTAAACTTCCTGAGGCTTCCATAGAAGCCAAGCAGATGCCAACATCATGCTTCCTGTCCTATGAAACCATGAACCAATTTAAACCCCCTTTCTTTATAAATTCCCCAATCTCAGGTTATTTCTTTATAGCCGTGTGAGAATGGACTAATACCACTAGTTACAGTTATTTGTTTCTCCTGATTCTGTGGAGGACAAACTTTTCCATTTAGATGATCTGCTGGGTTTTTTTGTTTGTTTGTTTGTCTGTTTTTTTGAGATGGAATCTCGCTCTGTTGCCCAGGCTGGAGTGCAGTGGCATGATCTTGGCTCACTGCAACCTCCGCCTCCTGGGTTCAGGGGACTCTTCTGCGTCAGCCTCCCGAGTAGCTGGGATTACAGGAGCACATCACCACGCCCGGCTAATTTTTGTATTTTTGGTAGAGATGGGGTTTCACCATATTGGTCAGGCTGGTCTTGAACTCCTGACCTTGTGATCTGCCCGCCTTGGCCTCCCAAAGTGCTAGGATTATAGGCGTGAGCCACCGCGCCTGGCCAAGATGATCTGCTGTTGAGAAAACCTAATAAGAATAGCCTTTATCAAAGATATATAATCTAGAAAAGCTTAGGGAGACACAAAATCGTAAGCATAAAGGACAGTTATTAAAGTGTTACTTCAGGCTGGGTGTGGTGGCTCATGCCTATAATTCCAGCACTTTGGGAGGCTGAGGTGGGAGGATTGCTTGAACCCAGGAGTTCAAGAAGAGCTTGGGCAACATAGTGAGACCCTGTCTCTACAAAAAAAATTGAAAACTAGCCAGGTGAGGTAGGACGTGCTTGTGATTCTAGCTACTCAGGAGACTGAGGTGGGAGGATCACTTGAGCCTGGGAGGTTGAGGCTTTAGTGAGCTGTGATTGCACCACTGTACTCCAGGCTGGGTGACAGAGTGAGATTCCATCTCAAAAAAAAAGAAAAGGCTGGGCACGGTGGCTCACGCCTGTAATCCCAGCACTTTGGGAGGCCGAGGTGGGCGGATCATTTGAGGTCGGGAGTTCGAGACCAGCCTGACCAACATGGAGAAACCCTGTCTCTACTAAAAATACAAAATTAGCTGGGCATGACTGCCTATGCCTGTAATCCCAGCTACTCTGGAGGCTGAGGCAGGAGAATCGCTTGAACCTGGGAGGCGGAGGTGGCGGTGAGCTGAGATCGAGCCATTGCACTCCAGCCTAGGTAACAAGAGCAAAACTCCGTCTCCAAAAACAAAAAAAAAGGTATTATTTCAGCTTAGTTGTTCATTTTTACCACCAAAGTGAAATGTAAACATCATATAATTTTATTCAGATATCAAAAGAAAGAAGAAAATTATTTTAACAAATTTGTAAAAAATTAAAAAATATATTTTGTTATAACAAATTTCTAACATACACAAAAATTGATAGGAAAACATAAGCAATCTTCCTGTACTTAACAACCAGCTTCCCTATGGCCAATCTTGTTTCATCTTTTCTCATGTCTACTCCTGAACCTCTACCTCCATTATTTTGATACAAATCCTGGCCATAATATAGTGACATTTGTAAGTATTCTAGTATTAACTCTGTAAAAGTTAAGGTCTCTAAAAAAATTACCGATTTTAAAGCATTTAGGGGAATGTAGTCAGTGTTTGGGAAATTTTGTAGGTGCTTTCCAGAAATTAAAGACAAGAAAAAGTAGAGTTCAATTTCTCAGTGAAAAACCGAAATCAGTACAAACAAAACATCAAGAATGAAGTTACTCATCTGTAGAAGTAGAATATATTGAGACGTGTTTGCTAAAGCGTGGACCAGAAGATTTAGAGACTTTCCATACCCACTCAATATGTTCTTAATGCATGAGTATTGTAGGCATTGAGGGCTGAGTCATAGCAGACTCCAGACGATGCAGGTGTTCATGTAGCCCCTGGAAGGACTTTGGTTGTTGCTTTTAGGGAGATAGGGAGATCTGAAGGTTTTAAGCAGGAGAGAAGCAGAATATCACTTCCACTTTAAGAGGACCGCTCTGGCTGCCGCTATGTTGAAACCGAAATGTATATGTTCTAGAGAAGGAAGAGAAAGACCAGTTAGGATAAAGTTTTTCACATTCTACTGTGCACACAAATCACAGAGAATCTTGTTAAATAAAGGTTCTATTTTCATAGGCCTAAGATGAGGACTGATTCTGCATTTCTAATAAGCTCCCAGGTAATGCCCAGGCCCCTGCTATACATACCAAACCTTGTTTGGCAAGGACTTAAGAAACTATTACAGACATCCAAATAATAGCTGATGTGGCTCAGAGTGTCAGTGATGGAAAACTAGAGGGATTGTTAAAATGGCAGGATGCTGGATTAATTTTTTCAGTGTAACTGACAGAATTCCTTGATGGCTTGGATATAAGATGGGGGAGGCAAGTCAAGGCACATTCTGAGGCTTTTGGCTTGAGCAACTGGAGGCATAGGGAAGCATGTAGGAGGAGCAGGTTTTGGTGGGAAATCAGAAAGTTGATTTTTTGACATCTTAATTTTGAGATACTTCTTAACTGTGAAAATTTTAAAGATGAGTAGGTGACTAGATACATATGTTTGGTGTTCAGGGGAGTGGTTGAAGTGGCAGCTAAAATTTGTAAGTCTGTATGTAATATCTGAAGCGATGAGAACGTATCAGATTAGTTAGAGAGGGAGTGCAGATAGAAAAAAAAAAGAGATTCTAGGACTGAGCTTTGGGTTTGTTCAACATTTAGAGGTCAGAAAGATGAACTAGCAAAGAATACGAGCCTTGAATTAAGAGGAGAATCAAGACAGCATGTCTCCTGGACGTCAGTAAAGAAAGTGAGATTAGTAAAACAAAGATGAAACTAACAAATATCAAATTATCAGATTCTGATCTAGGTTGCCCTCATAAACTTCAAGTTAATGTGGAGACTTCAAAATTAAAATGGAAATATTGAATTATGAAGCAGTTTCAGGGAGAGTTTGGAAGTGTTCAGGAAGGAGAGGTATTTTATAAATTTGACATGGTATCTAAGTGGCTGTATCACTAGCACTGAATTAGTTAATTCACTGAAACAGCTAGACTTTAAATAATTGATTTATTTTCTTATTCTTGAAGAGACTGCTTACATTAAATAGTTACTTTGGCATCATGTATAGTTTAAAATAAAACACATCGTTGCATCAGAAAGCATGCAACCTTTTATTACAGGTGTCACGTGTGTGTTAGTACTGATGACCTCAGTTCTCTCTTGCTTTCTACTCTCTGATCTTCATCTAGTCACCTTTCGCACTTTCTTTTTTTTAATTAATTTATTTTTTAATTATACTTTAAGTTCTAGGGTACATGTGCACAATGTGCAGGTTTGTTACATATGTATACATGTGCCATGTTGGTGTGCTGCACCCATTAACTCGTCATTTACATTAGGTATATCTCCTAATGCTATACCTCCCCCCTCCCACCACCCCAAGACAGTCCCTGGTGTGTGATGTTCCCCACCCTGTGTCCAGGTGTTCTCACTGTTCAATTCCCACCTGTGAGTGAGAACATGTGGTGTTTGGTTTCCTGTCCTTGCGATAGTTTGCTTAGAATGATGGTTTCCAGCTTCATCCATGTCCCTACAAAGGACATGAACTCACCCTTTTTATGCCTGCATAGTATTTCATGGTGTATATGTGCCACATTTTCTTAATCCAGTCTATCATTGATGGACATTTGGGTTGGTTCCAAGTCTTTGCTATTGTGAATAGTGTCACAATAAACATATGTGTGCATGTGTCTTTATAGCAGCATGATTTATAATCCTTTGGGTATATACCCAGTAATGGGATGGCTGGGTCAAATGGTATTTCTAGAAACTACCATCAGAGTGAACAGGCAACCTACAAAATGGGAGAAAATTTTTACAATCTACCCATCTGACAAAGGGCTAATATCCAGAATCTACAAAGAACTTAAACAAATTTACAAGAAAAAATCAAACAACCCCATCAAAAAGTGGGCAAAGGATATGAACAGACACTTCTCAAAAGAAGACATTTATGCATCCAACAGACACATGAAAAAATGATCATCACTGGCCATCAGAGAAATGCAAATCAAAACCACAATGAGATGCCATCTCACACCAGTTCAATGGCGATCATTAAAAAGTCAGGAAACAACAGGTGCTGGAGAGGATGTGGAGAAATAGGAACACTTTTACACTGTTGGTGGGAGTGTAAACTAGTTCAACCATTGTGGAAGACAGTGTGGCAATTCCTCAAGGACCTTTCTCAGTTTCTGTACTAAGAGAGGGAGAAACTGATCCCTGTCCTACATGGAGCACAGGGTTGTGTGACAATGGAGTGAGATAACAGGCCTCTATGAAGATGTCAGTATTATAGAAACAGGAAATGTATACAGAAATAGTATGCCCTTGATGCAGCTTCTCAGTCTAAGTAACTCATGAGTGTATCTTATGAGATTAATATTCTTTCCAATGTTATATGAAGGGGCCAAAGGTGACTATCTTGAAAGTGTTTTATAATTATTCACCTATTTTGACTCATAAAAATGATAATTTCATAGAATGCAGGCTAAATCTTCAGAGTTTTTAATAGTAAGCAAGAGAAGATACTTGATATCCTAGAATCAACTGAGTTTTCCCACCATAGCCAATAAGAATACTTATATTGAGCTCGAAATGGGAAGCTTCCATGTTTACTTTCTGTATTGAGAGATGACCTGCCCCAATTCTTGACCCTGATTCTGTAAAATTCCATTTTGGGGCTCAATGTTTATCAAAGGAAGATGGAAAAATCAAAGAAGAAAAAGGTAAAAAGCATTAACAACATCAGCCAAAGGTATCTCTCTCTCTCTTTTTCTCCCTTCCTTAGCTCATCACCTCCTTTCATTCATTTTTTAAAATAAACAGACAAATTAGGGTTATGCTATTCCAGACTAAGAAGAGCAAGTTGGAAGAAATAATTGGTGCATCAGTCAGGAAAAGCTCAGTTATGTTGCAGCAACAAACAACTCCAAAATCTCAGTGACTCAACACTTTTTTTTTCCCCAAATTTACTCTAGTTGTTTCACATGTGGGCTTTACTGTTGGTTATTCTGGTACTTAGGATCATGAAAATGCCATCTTGATAAGTCTTTCCACAATCATCAAGGCATTGGGAAGGGGATGTTGAGAATCACACAGAAATATGTCAGTTTTTTTCAAGGAAATGACAGACACCACTTCTCCACATATTTCTGTGGCCAAACAGGTAACTTGTTTGTTCCCAGCTTACCATGTGCCTAGAGGGAGAAGCATCAGAATATTTGTGGACATCTCTAGTGACTACCATTAATGTTTGAGGAAGGAACAAGAAATAATAAAAGCCCTTACCTCATAGATTATTGTGAAAATTTGTATAACACTTAAGCCTACAGTAAGCTCTATTATATGAATTAAAATTAAAAAAATAATCAATTTATATGATAATTATTTTTAGAGAACTAATAACTTATATGGAGACAATGTTCGGCTAATATAGCCTCTGGAAGGCTTATGTAAAATTTTCATATTTTATTTATGTCATTCTATTTCCAGCTTATATCCATATTTATAAAATTGTTGCTATCTCTATTCCATTTTCAAATTTAAGAAATCATTGCCTTCCTTTCTTTGATGAAAATAGAGCTTGGAGAAGAAATATCAATTCTGCCATTCTGAGAACACACACACATACAAATTCAAAATGTTTATATAAATTATATATAATATATATTTATATATAAAACATATAAAATAAATATAAAATTATATATATATATATAGAGAGAGAGAGAGAGAGAGAGAGAGCCAAATATTTTGTAGATGGAATGTTAACTCTTCTTGTAAAAGACCATAAATAAAGCTGGGTACAGTGGCTCATGCCTGTAATCCCAGCACTTTGGGAGGCCGAGGCAGGTGGATCACCTGAGGTTAGGAGTTCAAGTCCAGCTTGGCCAACATAGTGAAACCCTGTCTCTACTAAAAATACAAAATTAGCCGGGTGTGGTGGTACATGACTGTAATCTCAGCTACTCAGGAGGCTGAGGCAGGAGAATTGCTTGAACCTGGGAGGCGGAGGTTGCAGTGAGCTGAGATCACGCCATTGCACTCTGGCCTGGGCAACAAGAGCAAAACTCCATCTCAAAAATAAATAAATAAATAAATAGGTGGCTGGGCGCGGTGGCTCATGCCTGTAATCCCAGCACTTTGGGAGGCTGAGGTGGGCGGATCACGAGGTCAGGAGATCGAGACCATCCTGGCTAACACGGTGAAGCCCCATCTCTACTAAAAATACAAAAAAATTAGCCGGGTGTGGTGGCGGGCACCTGTAGTCCCAGCTGCTGGGGAGGCTGAGGCAGGAGAATGGTGTGAACCTGGGAGGCAGAGCTTGCAGTGAGCCGAGATCACGCCACTGCACTCCAGCCTGGGCGACAGAGTGAGACTCCATCTCAAAAAATAAATAAACAAATAAACAAATAAATAATATTTATACAATATAAACAAAATAACTGTACTTTGTTGTAGTCAACCAAGCTACTTTGGCTTTTGAAAAACCACTCCATCAAATACTTCACAATGAATTATGTAGATAGCAAAAAAGCCATCTCTTTTGTGTGTTAACACAGATATACCTCTGAAAAACTTTTTAAAGAGACAATTAAATTAAGAACTGCTCAGTATTAGATGGCGGGATGAAGTCCTCTACACAAAGAAAGCATCTTTGGAGGCAAAATACACTTGTGCAATGAGTTTCATCCATGTCGACAATACCAATCTTGATAAAGTCAAAAAAGGCAGGTTTTTCACAATGCATTTCTTTTGGACTGAATTATCTCAATGATTGTCTTAACTTTCCTCTTCACTTGAGGAGCTCTTTCTAAAGCAAAGTTGTGGTTTGGCAAGTAGCCAATCATTTGGACAGTAAAGTAGACAATCGAAGCCATTACAGTGCTTAGGCTAGCTGGAAATTTGTAGGCCTGGCTGGAATGATGCCAGTGAAGAACTGCAAAACTTCAATGCACCTGCAACTGATGAGTTGGATTGCTCCACCTTGTGCCTATTCTGTGCTATCCTTCTAGTGAGATTCTTTATCCCAGGGTGTGCTAACCTGATGCACGTGAGATGTAATGTGGTCACAGGATATTCAAATGCTAGGAAAGATTATTGTTTTTCTAAATCATTTGAAACATGGAAGGGGATTCAAACATATAAATAGTAATTTGTAAAACCAAGTTTGAAAATAATAATTTTTCTAGATGCAAGATCAAAGATAAATATAACCAGATGTAGAAAACCAGTAAGTATCTGAGGCTAATAGAATTTTCTGAGGGGAAAAATTGTTTTCTCGGGAAGTAAACATTATTTCAGGTATTTTTTCCCAGAACTTTAAGAAGTTTATAGTAATGTGTTTCATTCCCAGAAATTAATGAAACTAAATTATACAATTCCCAGAAAATATGGTTTAAAAGTTGCCTTTATAGAAATAAAATACTCTATTAGCAACTATTACCAAGAGAATTCATTGCCTTGAGTGAAGAAGAAAACTGAAGTTCACAAACTTTGGAATCTAGATTTGTGATTTTCAGCTAAGAAGAATTAAATATTTCTTAATGCCCATTTGGAGAGGCTAATTCAAAAATTAACTTTTTAAAAGTAAGAATTCTTTTTTTTTTTTTTGCCATGCTGGGTTCTTAAATTATGGTAGGATTGAAAAATAAGAACAGACATCACTTTACGGATACAATTTTTTATTACTAAAAATGAATGGACTAAATCTGATTTAAATTCTTTCACAAGAGTGTCCTTTGAAAGATGCACATACAGCTGCTATTGGCCTGTAAGAAGCTTCCCTTTCAGAGAAATTTTATTGCCCTCGAGATGGCGAGTTTTTTTAAAATAATCTTTTTATTTCTTTCTTGCAATTGAAGATGCAAGTCAACAAGTTCCTTCATTATGACCTAATACACAGATTTTTACAAAAAGCAGATGTTCTGGGTTTAAATTCAAATCATATTGTTAAGAAGCATCCTTTATCTCAGTTTTTTTTCCTTGTCCTCTCTCCGCCCTTTATTCTATTTTCAATTCCTTTATTATTCATAGATCCTTTCATGGATTTCCATTCTTCAGAATATGATGGTCTTCCAATGTGAAACCACTTAAGTCTATCCGTCTAATGGAAATGTTTTTTTTCCAGCGGTTAAGAAGGACATTGCTCTTGACATGACAGTCTAAATTTCCTCTCTCATTCTTTCGTCTAGCTTTCATTTTCTCACTGTCCACGTTTTCCCCCACATGCCATTTTATGATTTACTTTCATAATAACATTGCCAATATTATAATACTTGTTATTTATATGGTGTTTTACAGTTTCATAAAGGACTTTCATTTCTTTGATTTATTTATTACGTTTTGCTTCATCTAAATCTATTTGTCAAAACATTTTTTATGTGGAAAATGAGTCATAAATGAGGCATATATTATTGTAGACCATCTATTGCCAGTAATGGTTTTCTTTTAACTACTTTTAGAATTACATTAATCCTGAAGGTTAAATCATTTCTGAAGTATATTAATCCTGGAATTTAAAGCTATAAAGCATTAACTGCTGTTATAATTTTTCATCTCAAAGTTACCTTAGAGAATGACAGTATTTTTTTTCCCTACAGAGTGACTGTTAAAGATATTACCAGTTTCAGTTTGGAAGAATCATGCCAAAATGTTAGCTACTTTAAAAGACAGATATCTCTTGGAAATATTTCTGGCTATGCATATGTGATGGTCACACATTGAATCTATTTTAAACCTAGTGCTGAAATTATGAATGTAACATTGACATTTTTTATCCCAACAAGATAATTATCTTCTTACTGTTAAACAGTAATATCTCCATAAGGAAAACTAAATATTTATTTTAAAAAATTTCTTATGAAAGCAAATTACTGTAGTTCAATTTTCATTGTGAGGTAGGACAAAGTGAATTGGAGGTTATCCATAATCATGAACACAGCTTGTGATATTTCAGAGTTCTTTTATTTTACTGAAATTTGAGGAGAACATTTTTATAGCTGAATTCATTATGCTGAAGTCTTTCTTTAGACGCCCACTATCAGAGCTAGCAGGAGATGAAATTACACATGATGATATGTTGACCTTTGGACAGTACTTTTTAAAACATCAGTTTTCTGAGCATTTTCTTTTATTTTACCCTCATAACAATTTTGTGAAGTAGGTGCTGTGTAAGAATTATTCCAGCCGGGCGCAGTGGCTCACGCTTGTAATCTCAGCACTTTGGGAGGCCGAGGTGGACAGATCATCTAGGTCAGGGGTTTGAGACCAGCCTGGCCAACAGGGTGAAACCGTATCTCTACTAAAAATACAAAAATTAGTCCGGCATGGTGGCGGGCACCTGTAGTCCCAGCTACTCGGGAGGCTGAGGCATGAGAATTGCTTGAACCTGGGAGGCAGAGGTTGCAGTGAGCCGAGATTGCATCATTGCACTCCAGCCTGGGCAACAAGAGAGAAACTCTGTCTCAAAAATAAATAAATAAATAATAGAATTATTCCTAACCTTAGCACATTAAAACATTTATTATCACCCAATTTCTGAGAGTCAAAAATCTGGAAGTAGCTTACCCAGTTGGTTCTGAGTTAGGGTCGGGGTAGCAGTCAAAATATCAGCTAGGGTTGCAGTCATCTCAAGACTTGACTGGGCAGAAGGATCTGCTTCCAAGTTCACTAGCGTTACTGACAGACTTCACTTCATTGTCTGTTGGCCAGAGACTTCCATTTCTTGCCATATGGCTTCCCTATTGACTGATTCAATGTCATTGTCAACTGGGTGGCCCCAGCTCTGTGTGTGTGTGTGTGTGTGTGTGTGTGTGTGTGTGTGTGTGTGTATGAAAGAGAGAGAGAGAGGAGAGGAGTCTCAGAAAAAAGTCACAGTCTTTTTTATAACCTAATGTCAGAAGTGACATATTATTACTTCTACTGTATGCTATTGAATACATGGGCCAACCTGGTGCAGTGTGAGAGAGGACTATATAAGGATGTGAATACCAAATGGTAAAAATCACTGGAACCATCTGGGAGGCCACCACAATAAATGATCAGACATTATAAAGATAACTGAGAACTTGGAAAACAACTGACTTGCTATAGATCTTAGCCACACTTTTGTAGCTTTAATTGTGGCAGTAAATTTTCCACTATACCAGAATCTCTTGCTCTTCACAAGTTTTTTCTATAATCATTGCTTCCTACATTATGATAAAAGTGTATAAGTTTTAAAAAGGTAAGCTACTGAATTTCATGAGGTTTTTTTTGTTTGTTTTGTTTTTTGTTTTTGTTTTGTTTTTTTGAAATTTATGACTGGCTAGTTTTTCAGGTGAAGAAAAGGAGGCCCACTGCAAATGTACCATTCCTGCCAACTGTACATTGAACTATGGCATTATTTAAAGAATGTGGTACCTCCCGCATGATGTCTGTATGTTCCCCAGTCTTGTCTTATATATCAGCCAAACCAGGAATTATGAGATGAAGAGTTGTGATTGCACAGCCCTTTCATTTCATGGGTGTAGAAATTTAGAAAAGTTATATGAGAGAGCCATGTGAATGTTGTGTTAGAGCTTACATTTGGTTAAGGTTTTAATTGACAAACCAGTAGATGAAAAAATATCTGATAATTATTCAGGAAAATTTTCAAATTGTTGTCAAGCTATTTTAAAAAGACTCACATAAATAGGAACTTAATCAAACTAATCATCTATTATTTTATATCGTAGGACTCAATAAACTGTTTTATTCATTGTACTGCCTACTAATTAGTGTTTATAACTCTTATTCATGTCATCCATGGTTTTCTGGAATTGAATTTTTACCTCTCTCAATAACTCCCATTCCTCAATACCTGTAATCCAGATTCGATGATTCCTAACATTGAGAGTATTTGTACATATCTGTATTTCTTGCTTCTTTGATGCATGCATTTACTCATCAGATAGATGCAAAGCAAAAATAATATGCCAAGCATAGGGCTAGATGATAGGAGAAAATGTGAAGAGGGTAAACAAGTTTTTGCCTCCAGTGGGCTTCTTAGTTTCTCTGTGGAAGAAGTTCCTAAAGAAATAATTGTAAAAGAAAAAAACTTATTAAATTTACAATTGCTAAAAATGGTATGAAAGAGGAAGATCGAGTGTTGCAATATTATATAGAAGGGGGTTCTCATCTTATGTGTGTGGGAAGAGGAAAGTTAACCAAGTCTTCCCTGAGAGGGTTTTAATTGTTTCAGACTTACATGAGGCTTGGCATAGTTAGATGCACAAGTATGTTTAAGATATTTTTGGCCGGGCGTGGTGGCTCACGCTTGTAATCCCAGCACTTTGGGAGGCCGAGGCAGGCAGATCACGAGGTCAGGAGATCGAGACCATTCTGGCTAACACGGTGAAACCCCGCCTCTACTAAAAATAGAAAAAAATTAGCCGGGCATGGTGGCAGGCACCTGTAGTCCCAGCTACTCGGGAGGCTGAGGCAGGAGAATGGTGTGAACCCGGGAGGCGGAGCTTGCAGTGAGCCGAGATGGCGCCACTACACTCCAGCCTGGGCGACAGAGCGAGACTCTGTCTCAAAAAAAAAAAAAAAAGAAAAGAAAAAAGATATTTTATGATATGCAGTTAATTCAAGGGGGAATTTCTATAGTCAAGTGCAGGGTTAAAGATACTATGTTGCTACCTTTGAACATGATTGTAAATGTTATAAGCTTTTACAAAATAAGTGAACATGAAGCATGAAATTAAGCATAGAATGAAAGATAACTTTGTATGCTTTTTAACATTAATGTACATATTCATACATTTAACAAACTTTTATTAAGCAGTGTGTCATGGTAACAAGGGAATGAGCCTTGGAATCAGAAAGATTTGGGTCTACTCTCTGCTATGGCATTAACATTTTGGGAAAGACCCTGAGTCTTATTGAGACTTAGTATATTCATCTGTAAAATAGGGACAGTGATACATAGTTTGAGAGCTATTGAGATACAGATTGAGCATCCCTAATCTGAAAATCTGAAATCCAAAATGCTCCAAAGTCCTACATGATGCCACATGTGGAAGATCCCCCACATGACTTCTTGTGATGAGTCACAGCCAAATGCAATCAAAACTTCATTTCATGCACATAATTATTCAAAAATATCGTATAAAGCGGCCAGGTGCGGTGGCTCACGCCTGCAATCCCAGCACTTTGGGAGGCTGAGGCGGGTGGATTACCAGGCCAAGAGATCGAGACCATCCTGGCCAACATGGTGAAACCCCGTCTCTACTAAAAATACAAAAATTAGCTGGCTGTGGTGACACATGCCTCTAGTCCCAGCTACTCGGGAGGCTGAGGTAGGAGAATCACTTGAACCCAGGAGGCGGAGGTTGCAGTGAGCCGAGATCACATCATTGCAGTCCAGCCTGGGCGACAAGAGCGAAACTCCATCTAAAAAAAAAAAAAGAAATCGTATAAAGTTACTTTCCTCCTATAAGGCATATGTCAAACATAAATAAGTTTCATATTTAGATTTGGGTCCCATCCCCAAGATGTCTCATGATATGTATGCAAATATCCCAAAATCTTAAAAAATCCAAAATCTGAAACAATTCTGATCCCAAGCGTTTTGGATATGGGATACTCAACCTCTAATGCAGACGAAGCATTTATCAACATCTGGGACATTGCTGGTCTTCAATACATGGTAGCTATCATTATCATCATCGTTATTATTGTTATTTTTATTTGCTAGGGTTAAAAATAAACCAGATTAGTCTGAGTTGGAGTAATTGTTTTGTAATTCAATTGCGGAAATACTATTAAAGTTTCAATATCTTAATGCAGAGCTCTGGAACTACATTTATAATTATTATCTGAGACTACTTGACTACTGTGTGTCCTTTGGAGAATGTTGTAATATATTCTAATTCAATAATTAGAGGTATTGAAGAACCATGGGCTGCTCATAAAAGAACAGGAAATGACTAAATAGCCTTGATTTTGGTAACTTGTATTTATGGTTATTCTAATGTATGTAATTAGAAACTACTTAGTGAAACCTGGAGTGGTGGGAATTGATGGTGGGGGGAGGGAATGGGGGCTAAGAGGACGTTTATTGTCAGCCCTGCTGATGATCTTAGCCTTCATCCTGTTGGTGACAGAGAGGCAATGAAAGTTTGTAAGCAGAGGTGTGAAGTGGGCAGATCTGTGTTTGACTACGTGCTTGGAGGAAGGGGTGGAAGATGAACTGAATGGGAAGTGGAGAAGCCAGTTAAAGGGGCACTAATAGGTCATGCGAATATTTCTGAGGAACTGAACTGGTTACAGTTGTAAAGCAATTGACTAATAAAACGGAGAAATGGTGATAGCCCAAAAAAAGGTGGAGTTAACATAAATCTTTAGGAGGTAAAATTGGCAGGGGTTTTTGTTGAATTGGATGGAGTAAATGTAGGAGTAGTTTTCAAGGAAATTGATGACTCAGAGGTAGAGAAAAGTATTGAGAGAAAGGCAAGGGCGTATTTGAAATAAATAAAAAAAAATTCCAAGGATAAAAATCAACCAGACTTGGTAATTAAGTGGATGGGTGGAGGTGAGTAAAAGAACTCATGAATTACTCCAGGAAGATGCCACCTTTTGAGCAACGGAGCATAGCCGAGAAATGTTATTTAGAGGAGAAGTTTATAATGTTTGTTTTAATTCAATTTGTTGACTTTGAAATGCTTATGGGCTATCCAGGTCTAGGTGGTTATAACAGGTAATAACTAGGTGGTTATAACTAGATAATGTGTGTCTGTCCTGCAGACATAAGTCTGGGAGATATAAACAGATATATGACTGCTGACCTCAGGAGTGGAGGACATGTCTTAGAAAGCACGGATCCAGTGACAAAGCAGTGTTTCCCTTAACTTCTCCTTTGTCTTTTCTCATAAGTCTGTTCACCAACAACCATTTTCAAATATGTCTTATTTATTACATAATTCCATGCCAAGATCCTGATTCAGGTTCTTATCTCCCTCTTCCCGAGAGCCTCCAGACAATTGTATCTGCCCCCAGTTTCCTCCTCTAGCACCACCAAAATTTTCTTTCTGTGAGAAAAATCTGACCCATAAATAATCATCTGATTTGGTGATTAAAGACAGATAATGCCTCTTCACTGCTTACCATGTAGATAGCTGACTTTGTAACATCAAATACAATGGGAGTCATCTCAAATTACACCTTCCCGTGTGCCCAAGTCCTTACCAAATTTACCACTATCTCCTACACACGTCATGTCTTTTAATGCTTCTACATCTTTGTTCAAGCTGTTGGCATTCACTAAAATATCCCTCTCCACCTTGTTTGTAGGATGAGCTACTACTCAGACTTCAAATACCACTCTGATGCCATCTGTGTTCTGAAACATTCTCTGACTCCTGAATTCTCATCCCAGTCTCAATTCAACACTGTGTGTGTGTGTGTGTACACACACATCTACTTACGTGTTCACATTTGTTCACATGTTTGTGAACCCTTTAAAAATAATTACATTGTTATGTGTATCCCTTTATTCCATGGCTGATACATAAAAAACATCTAATAATTACTTATTCAATTGAATATGGCAGAAACCAACTCAGTAAAATTCTGTGGATGGGGGTATGAAAATAAATGCTAAATTAGCTATTTGATAGCTATGAGGAGAACAATTTAGACAAGGTCTGATTATTAGAGGTCCATACGGAAATGTTAATCCTTTCCCAAGTACCAAGAATCATGAGAGAAATAGCCCCTGCAATGGTCTAAAGAAAAAGGAGGTAAACTAGAAAGGAGGCCAGTTAAAAACACCTTTATTACTGAGTGAAGTTGGGCCAAGTGAAATTAATTGATGTGAGACTGTGAAATTATACTTCATCTGTTTGTTATCCACAGTTACATCACACTTCATCACTCACCATAAAGATGAGCCATTGCACCTACATGAATTTTAAACGTAATTGAAACTGAAGTTGTAACTGGTGATTTATAATATTAACCATTTCTTGAAATATCTCTTAAACAGCATCAGCCATTTTTAATTTTTTTATAAACTGGATAGAAGAAAAATTTTTTCTTATTAATTTAGAAACATCATAAGGATGAAACTTAATATAAGTTTACATATATGTGTACTTACATACACACATAATTTTACAGAAAATGAAAACCAAATAGAAGAACAGAAACTTAATCTTTACAAAGTTACTTTCATCATTTCTGTGGTTATAAATTGTACATATTCACTGTAGAAAAATTAGAAATTATGCACAGTCATGCATCACTTAACAATGAGAATATGTTTTGATAAATCCTTTGTTAGGTGATTTAATCATTGTGGGAACATCATAGAGTGTCCCTACACAAACCTATATGGCATAGCCTGCAAGACACCCAGGCTGTGTGCTATAGCCTATTGCTCCTAGGGTATAAACCTGTACAGCATGTTATTGTACTGAAGGGTATAGGCAATTGTAATGCAATGGTAAGTATTTGTGTATCTAAAGATGGAAAAGATACCATAAAATATGCTATAAAAGATAAAAACTGCTACACCTGTGTAGGGCACTTACCATGAATGGAATTTGAAGGACTGGCACTTGTTCTGGGTGAGTGAGTGAGTAGTGAGTGACTGTGAGGGTCTAGGACATTATGTACACTATTGTAGATTTTATAAACACTGTACACTCAGGCTACACTAAATTTATTTAAAAATATTTTCCTTTCTTCAATAATAAATTAACTTTATCATACTGTAATATTTTTACTTTATAAACTTTATAAAGTAAAAGTTTGTAAAGTTTATACAGTTAAATTTTTTAACTTTTTAACTCTTTGATGCTAACACTTAGATTAAAACACACACATTGCACAGCTGTACAAAAATAGTTTTAGTCTTTATATACTTATGCTATAGGCTTTTTTCTATTTTTAAATTATTTTATTTTATTTTTTAAACATTTGTGTTAAAAACTAAGACACAAACATGCCTTAGCCTAGGCTACACAGGGTCAGGATCATCAATATCACTGTCTTCCACCTTCACATCTTGATCCACTGGAGGATCTTCAGGGGCAATAACATACATGTAACTGTCATCTCTTGTGATGATGAAGACTTCTTCTGGAATATCTCCTGCGGGACCTGCCTGAGGCTATTTTACAGTTAATTATTTTATAGGTAGAAGGAGAACACTCTAAAATAATGATTAGGCTGGGCATGGTGGCTCATGCCTGTAATCCCAGCACTTTGGGAGGCTGAGGCGGGCAGATCACCTGAGGTTGGAAGTTTGAGACCAGCCTGACCAACATGGAGAAACCCCGTCTCTACTAAAAATACAA